>NC_000011.10:51078348-51090317 GCF_000001405.40 Homo sapiens
AGCATTTTCAGAAACTTCTTTGTGATGTGTGCATTCAACTGACAGAGTTGAATATTTCTTTTGATAGAGCAGTTTTGAATCACTCTATTTGTAGAATCTGCAAGTGGACATTGGGAGCGCTTTCAGGCCTATGCTGAAAAAGGAAATAACGTAACATAAAAACTAGACAGAAGCATTCTCAGAAACTTCTTTGTGATGAGTGCATTCAACACACCGAGTTGAACATCCATTTTGATAGAGAAGTACTGAAACACTCTTTTTGTAGAATGTGCAAGCGAATATTTCGATCGCTTTGAGGGCTTTGTTGGTAACAGGAATATCATCATATAAAAACTACACAAAAGCCTTCTCAGAAACTACTTTGTGACGCGTGCATTCAACTCACAGAGTTCAAACTTTCTTTTGATAGAGCAGTATTGAAACACACTTTTTGTATAATCTGCAAGTGGATATTTGGAGCGCTCTGTGGCCTATATTGAAAAAGGAAATATCTTCACATAAAAACTAGACAGAAGCATTCTCAGAAACTTCTTTTTGATGTTTGCATTCAACTCACAGAGCTGAACATTCCTTTTGATAGAGCAGGTATGAAACTCACTTTTTGCAGAATCTGCAAGTGGATATTTGGACGGCGATTAGGAATTCGTTGAAAACGGGTATATCTTCGCATACAAACTAGACAGATGCATTCTCAGAAACTTCTTTGTGATGTGTGCATTCAACTCACAGAGTTGAAAATTCCTCTTGATAGAGCAGTTTTGAAACACACTTTTTGTAGGATCTGCATGTGGATATTTGGACCGCTTTGAGGCCCTCATTGGAAAAATGGAATATCTTTATATAAAAACAACAGAAAAGCATTCTCAGAAACAGCTTTGTGATATGTGCATTCAACTCACAGAGTTGAACCTTTCTTTTGATAGAGTAGATTTGAAACACCGTTTTATATGGATGTGCAAGTGGACATTTGGAGTGCTTTGAGGGCTATGGTGAAAAAGGAAATATCTTTATATGAAAACTAAACAGTAGTATTCTCAGAAACTTCTTTGTGATGTGTGGATTCAACTCACAGAGCTGAACATTCCTTTTGTTAGAGCAGTTTTGAAGAACTCTTTTCATAGAATCTGCAAGTGGATATTTGGGCCGCTTTGTGTAATCCATAGGAAACGGGAATATCTTCACATAAAAACTAGACAGAAGCATTCTCAGAAAATTCTTTGTGATGTGTGCATTCAACTCAAAGAGTGGAAGTTTCCCTTTAATAGAGCAGTTTGAAACACTCTTTTTGTAGAATCTGCAAGTGGATATTTGGATTGCTTTGAGGACTTCTTTGGACACGGGGATATCTTCACAGAAAAACAAGAAAAAAACATTCTCAGAAACTTCTTTGTGATGTGTGCATTCAACTCACAGATTTGAAACTTTCTTTTGATAAAGCAGTTTTGAAACACTCTTTTTTTGTAGAATCCTCAATTAGACATTTGGAGCGCCTTGATACCTATGGTGAAAAATTAAATATCTTTACATAAAAACTTGACGGAAGCATTCTCAGAGACTTCTTCGTGATGTGTGTATTCAACTCACCATATTGAACATTCCTTTTGATGGAGCAGTTTTGAAACACTCTTTTTGTAGAATCTGTACGTGGATATTTGGACCGCTTTGTGGAATTCATTGAAAACGGGTATTTCCTCACATAAAAACTAGACAGAAGCATTCTCAGAAACTTCTTTGTGATGTGTGCATTCAACTCAAACACATGAACATTCCTTTTGATACAGCAGTTTTGAAACACTCTTTTTATAGTATCTGCAAGTGGATATTTGGAGCAATTTGAGGACTCTTGTGAAAAAGGAAATATCTTCACATAAAAACTACACAGAATCATTCTCAGAAACTTCATTGTGATGTGTGCATTCAACGCACAGAGTTGAAACTTTCTTTGGATAGAGCAGTTTTGAAATACTCTTTTTGTGGGATCTGCAAGTGGATATTTGTACCGCTTTTGGAATTCGTTGGAAACGAGTATATCTTAACATAAAAACTAGACAGAAGCATTCTCAGAAACTTCTTTGTGATGTGTGCATTCAACTCAAACACATGAACATTCCTTTTGATACAGCAGTTTTGAAACACTCTTTTTATAGTATCTGCAAGTGGATATTTGGAGCGATTTGAGGACTCTTGTGAAAAAGGAAATACCTTCACATAAAAACTACACAGAAGCATTCTCAGAAACTTCATTGTGATGTGTGCATTCAACGCACAGAGTTGAAACTTTCTTTGGATAGAGCAGTTTTGAAACACTCTTTTTGTAGAATCTGCAAGTGGATATTGGTACCACTTTTGGAATTCGTTGGAAACGGGTATATCTTAACATAAAAACTATACAGAAGCATTCTCATAAACTTTTTTGTGATCTGTGCATTCAACTCACAGAGTTGAACATTCCTTTTGATAGAGCACTTTTGAAACACTCTATTTGAAGGATCTGCAAGTGGACATTTGGGGCGCTTTGCGGCCGATGGTGAAAATGGAAATATCTTCACATAAAAACTAGACAGAAGCATTCTCAGAAACTTCTTAGTGGTGTGTGCATTCAACTCACAGAGTTGAACATTCGTTTTGATAGACCAGTTTTGAAACACTCTTTTTGTAGAATCTGCATGTGGATACTTGGACCACTTTGAGTCCTTTGTTTGAAACAGGAATATCTTCATCTAAAAACAAGACAGAAGCATTTTCAGAAACTTCTTTGTGATGTGTGCATTCAACTGACAGAGTTGAATATTTCTTTTGATAGAGCAGTTTTGAATCACTCTATTTGTAGAATCTGCAAGTGGACATTGGGAGCGCTTTCAGGCCTATGCTGAAAAAGGAAATAACGTAACATAAAAACTAGACAGAAGCATTCTCAGAAACTTCTTTGTGATGAGTGCATTCAACACACCGAGTTGAACATCCA
Source organism: Homo sapiens (assembly GCF_000001405.40). NCBI lineage: Eukaryota > Metazoa > Chordata > Mammalia > Primates > Hominidae > Homo > Homo sapiens. The sequence goes on from NC_000011.10 coordinate 51,081,314, forward strand.
TTTTGATAGAGAAGTACTGAAACACTCTTTTTGTAGAATGTGCAAGCGAATATTTCGATCGCTTTGAGGGCTTTGTTGGTAACAGGAATATCATCATATAAAAACTACACAAAAGCCTTCTCAGAAACTACTTTGTGACGCGTGCATTCAACTCACAGAGTTCAAACTTTCTTTTGATAGAGCAGTATTGAAACACACTTTTTGTATAATCTGCAAGTGGATATTTGGAGCGCTCTGTGGCCTATATTGAAAAAGGAAATATCTTCACATAAAAACTAGACAGAAGCATTCTCAGAAACTTCTTTTTGATGTTTGCATTCAACTCACAGAGCTGAACATTCCTTTTGATAGAGCAGGTATGAAACTCACTTTTTGCAGAATCTGCAAGTGGATATTTGGACGGCGATTAGGAATTCGTTGAAAACGGGTATATCTTCGCATACAAACTAGACAGATGCATTCTCAGAAACTTCTTTGTGATGTGTGCATTCAACTCACAGAGTTGAAAATTCCTCTTGATAGAGCAGTTTTGAAACACACTTTTTGTAGGATCTGCATGTGGATATTTGGACCGCTTTGAGGCCCTCATTGGAAAAATGGAATATCTTTATATAAAAACAACAGAAAAGCATTCTCAGAAACAGCTTTGTGATATGTGCATTCAACTCACAGAGTTGAACCTTTCTTTTGATAGAGTAGATTTGAAACACCGTTTTATATGGATGTGCAAGTGGACATTTGGAGCGCTTTGAGGGCTATGGTGAAAAAGGAAATATCTTTATATGAAAACTAAACAGTAGTATTCTCAGAAACTTCTTTGTGATGTGTGGATTCAACTCACAGAGCTGAACATTCCTTTTGTTAGAGCAGTTTTGAAGAACTCTTTTCATAGAATCTGCAAGTGGATATTTGGGCCGCTTTGTGTAATCCATAGGAAACGGGAATATCTTCACATAAAAACTAGACAGAAGCATTCTCAGAAAATTCTTTGTGATGTGTGCATTCAACTCAAAGAGTGGAAGTTTCCCTTTAATAGAGCAGTTTGAAACACTCTTTTTGTAGAATCTGCAAGTGGATATTTGGATTGCTTTGAGGACTTCTTTGGACACGGGGATATCTTCACAGAAAAACAAGAAAAAAACATTCTCAGAAACTTCTTTGTGATGTGTGCATTCAACTCACAGATTTGAAACTTTCTTTTGATAAAGCAGTTTTGAAACACTCTTTTTTTGTAGAATCCTCAATTAGACATTTGGAGCGCCTTGATACCTATGGTGAAAAATTAAATATCTTTACATAAAAACTTGACGGAAGCATTCTCAGAGACTTCTTCGTGATGTGTGTATTCAACTCACCATATTGAACATTCCTTTTGATGGAGCAGTTTTGAAACACTCTTTTTGTAGAATCTGTACGTGGATATTTGGACCGCTTTGTGGAATTCATTGAAAACGGGTATTTCCTCACATAAAAACTAGACAGAAGCATTCTCAGAAACTTCTTTGTGATGTGTGCATTCAACTCAAACACATGAACATTCCTTTTGATACAGCAGTTTTGAAACACTCTTTTTATAGTATCTGCAAGTGGATATTTGGAGCAATTTGAGGACTCTTGTGAAAAAGGAAATATCTTCACATAAAAACTACACAGAATCATTCTCAGAAACTTCATTGTGATGTGTGCATTCAACGCACAGAGTTGAAACTTTCTTTGGATAGAGCAGTTTTGAAATACTCTTTTTGTGGGATCTGCAAGTGGATATTTGTACCGCTTTTGGAATTCGTTGGAAACGAGTATATCTTAACATAAAAACTAGACAGAAGCATTCTCAGAAACTTCTTTGTGATGTGTGCATTCAACTCAAACACATGAACATTCCTTTTGATACAGCAGTTTTGAAACACTCTTTTTATAGTATCTGCAAGTGGATATTTGGAGCGATTTGAGGACTCTTGTGAAAAAGGAAATACCTTCACATAAAAACTACACAGAAGCATTCTCAGAAACTTCATTGTGATGTGTGCATTCAACGCACAGAGTTGAAACTTTCTTTGGATAGAGCAGTTTTGAAACACTCTTTTTGTAGAATCTGCAAGTGGATATTGGTACCACTTTTGGAATTCGTTGGAAACGGGTATATCTTAACATAAAAACTATACAGAAGCATTCTCATAAACTTTTTTGTGATCTGTGCATTCAACTCACAGAGTTGAACATTCCTTTTGATAGAGCACTTTTGAAACACTCTATTTGAAGGATCTGCAAGTGGACATTTGGGGCGCTTTGCGGCCGATGGTGAAAATGGAAATATCTTCACATAAAAACTAGACAGAAGCATTCTCAGAAACTTCTTAGTGGTGTGTGCATTCAACTCACAGAGTTGAACATTCGTTTTGATAGACCAGTTTTGAAACACTCTTTTTGTAGAATCTGCATGTGGATACTTGGACCACTTTGAGTCCTTTGTTTGAAACAGGAATATCTTCATCTAAAAACAAGACAGAAGCATTTTCAGAAACTTCTTTGTGATGTGTGCATTCAACTGACAGAGTTGAATATTTCTTTTGATAGAGCAGTTTTGAATCACTCTATTTGTAGAATCTGCAAGTGGACATTGGGAGCGCTTTCAGGCCTATGCTGAAAAAGGAAATAACGTAACATAAAAACTAGACAGAAGCATTCTCAGAAACTTCTTTGTGATGAGTGCATTCAACACACCGAGTTGAACATCCATTTTGATAGAGAAGTACTGAAACACTCTTTTTGTAGAATGTGCAAGCGAATATTTCGATCGCTTTGAGGGCTTTGTTGGTAACAGGAATATCATCATATAAAAACTACACAAAAGCCTTCTCAGAAACTACTTTGTGACGCGTGCATTCAACTCACAGAGTTCAAACTTTCTTTTGATAGAGCAGTATTGAAACACACTTTTTGTATAATCTGCAAGTGGATATTTGGAGCGCTCTGTGGCCTATATTGAAAAAGGAAATATCTTCACATAAAAACTAGACAGAAGCATTCTCAGAAACTTCTTTTTGATGTTTGCATTCAACTCACAGAGCTGAACATTCCTTTTGATAGAGCAGGTATGAAACTCACTTTTTGCAGAATCTGCAAGTGGATATTTGGACGGCGATTAGGAATTCGTTGAAAACGGGTATATCTTCGCATACAAACTAGACAGATGCATTCTCAGAAACTTCTTTGTGATGTGTGCATTCAACTCACAGAGTTGAAAATTCCTCTTGATAGAGCAGTTTTGAAACACACTTTTTGTAGGATCTGCATGTGGATATTTGGACCGCTTTGAGGCCCTCATTGGAAAAATGGAATATCTTTATATAAAAACAACAGAAAAGCATTCTCAGAAACAGCTTTGTGATATGTGCATTCAACTCACAGAGTTGAACCTTTCTTTTGATAGAGTAGATTTGAAACACCGTTTTATATGGATGTGCAAGTGGACATTTGGAGCGCTTTGAGGGCTATGGTGAAAAAGGAAATATCTTTATATGAAAACTAAACAGTAGTATTCTCAGAAACTTCTTTGTGATGTGTGGATTCAACTCACAGAGCTGAACATTCCTTTTGTTAGAGCAGTTTTGAAGAACTCTTTTCATAGAATCTGCAAGTGGATATTTGGGCCGCTTTGTGTAATCCATAGGAAACGGGAATATCTTCACATAAAAACTAGACAGAAGCATTCTCAGAAAATTCTTTGTGATGTGTGCATTCAACTCAAAGAGTGGAAGTTTCCCTTTAATAGAGCAGTTTGAAACACTCTTTTTGTAGAATCTGCAAGTGGATATTTGGATTGCTTTGAGGACTTCTTTGGACACTGGGATATCTTCACAGAAAAACAAGAAAAAAACATTCTCAGAAACTTCTTTGTGATGTGTGCATTCAACTCACAGATTTGAAACTTTCTTTTGATAAAGCAGTTTTGAAACACTCTTTTTTTGTAGAATCCTCAATTAGACATTTGGAGCGCCTTGATACCTATGGTGAAAAATTAAATATCTTTACATAAAAACTTGACGGAAGCATTCTCAGAGACTTCTTCGTGATGTGTGTATTCAACTCACCATATTGAACATTTCTTTTGATGGAGCAGTTTTGAAACACTCTTTTTGTAGAATCTGTACGTGGATATTTGGACCGCTTTGTGGAATTCATTGAAAACGGGTATTTCCTCACATAAAAACTAGACAGAAGCATTCTCAGAAACTTCTTTGTGATGTGTGCATTCAACTCAAACACATGAACATTCCTTTTGATACAGCAGTTTTGAAACACTCTTTTTATAGTATCTGCAAGTGGATATTTGGAGCAATTTGAGGACTCTTGTGAAAAAGGAAATATCTTCACATAAAAACTACACAGAATCATTCTCAGAAACTTCATTGTGATGTGTGCATTCAACGCACAGAGTTGAAACTTTCTTTGGATAGAGCAGTTTTGAAATACTCTTTTTGTGGGATCTGCAAGTGGATATTTGTACCGCTTTTGGAATTCGTTGGAAACGAGTATATCTTAACATAAAAACTAGACAGAAGCATTCTCAGAAACTTCTTTGTGATGTGTGCATTCAACTCAAACACATGAACATTCCTTTTGATACAGCAGTTTTGAAACACTCTTTTTATAGTATCTGCAAGTGGATATTTGGAGCAATTTGAGGACTCTTGTGAAAAAGGAAATATCTTCACATAAAAACTACACAGAAGCATTCTCAGAAACTTCATTGTGATGTGTGCATTCAACGCACAGAGTTGAAACTTTCTTTGGATAGAGCAGTTTTGAAATACTCTTTTTGTAGGATCTGCAAGTGGATATTTGTACCGCTTTTGGAATTCGTTGGAAACGGGTATATCTTAACATAAAAACTAGATAGAAGCATTCTCAGAAACTTCTTTGTGATGTGTGCATTCAACTCAAACACATGAACATTCCTTTTGATACAGCAGTTTTGAAACACTCTTTTTATAGTATCTGCAAGTGGATATTTGGAGCGATTTGAGGACTCTTGTGAAAAAGGAAATACCTTCACATAAAAACTACACAGAAGCATTCTCAGAAACTTCATTGTGATGTGTGCATTCAACGCACAGAGTTGAAACTTTCTTTGGATAGAGCAGTTTTGAAACACTCTTTTTGTAGAATCTGCAAGTGGATATTGGTACCACTTTTGGAATTCGTTGGAAACGGGTATATCTTAACATAAAAACTATACAGAAGCATTCTCATAAACTTTTTTGTGATCTGTGCATTCAACTCACAGAGTTGAACATTCCTTTTGATAGAGCACTTTTGAAACACTCTATTTGAAGGATCTGCAAGTGGACATTTGGGGCGCTTTGCGGCCGATGGTGAAAATGGAAATATCTTCACATAAAAACTAGACAGAAGCATTCTCAGAAACTTCTTAGTGGTGTGTGCATTCAACTCACAGAGTTGAACATTCGTTTTGATAGACCAGTTTTGAAACACTCTTTTTGTAGAATCTGCATGTGGATACTTGGACCACTTTGAGTCCTTTGTTTGAAACAGGAATATCTTCATCTAAAAACAAGACAGAAGCATTTTCAGAAACTTCTTTGTGATGTGTGCATTCAACTGACAGAGTTGAATATTTCTTTTGATAGAGCAGTTTTGAATCACTCTATTTGTAGAATCTGCAAGTGGACATTGGGAGCGCTTTCAGGCCTATGCTGAAAAAGGAAATAACGTAACATAAAAACTAGACAGAAGCATTCTCAGAAACTTCTTTGTGATGAGTGCATTCAACACACCGAGTTGAACATCCATTTTGATAGAGAAGTACTGAAACACTCTTTTTGTAGAATGTGCAAGCGAATATTTCGATCGCTTTGAGGGCTTTGTTGGTAACAGGAATATCATCATATAAAAACTACACAAAAGCCTTCTCAGAAACTACTTTGTGACGCGTGCATTCAACTCACAGAGTTCAAACTTTCTTTTGATAGAGCAGTATTGAAACACACTTTTTGTATAATCTGCAAGTGGATATTTGGAGCGCTCTGTGGCCTATATTGAAAAAGGAAATATCTTCACATAAAAACTAGACAGAAGCATTCTCAGAAACTTCTTTTTGATGTTTGCATTCAACTCACAGAGCTGAACATTCCTTTTGATAGAGCAGGTATGAAACTCACTTTTTGCAGAATCTGCAAGTGGATATTTGGACGGCGATTAGGAATTCGTTGAAAACGGGTATATCTTCGCATACAAACTAGACAGATGCATTCTCAGAAACTTCTTTGTGATGTGTGCATTCAACTCACAGAGTTGAAAATTCCTCTTGATAGAGCAGTTTTGAAACACACTTTTTGTAGGATCTGCATGTGGATATTTGGACCGCTTTGAGGCCCTCATTGGAAAAATGGAATATCTTTATATAAAAACAACAGAAAAGCATTCTCAGAAACAGCTTTGTGATATGTGCATTCAACTCACAGAGTTGAACCTTTCTTTTGATAGAGTAGATTTGAAACACCGTTTTATATGGATGTGCAAGTGGACATTTGGAGCGCTTTGAGGGCTATGGTGAAAAAGGAAATATCTTTATATGAAAACTAAACAGTAGTATTCTCAGAAACTTCTTTGTGATGTGTGGATTCAACTCACAGAGCTGAACATTCCTTTTGTTAGAGCAGTTTTGAAGAACTCTTTTCATAGAATCTGCAAGTGGATATTTGGGCCGCTTTGTGTAATCCATAGGAAACGGGAATATCTTCACATAAAAACTAGACAGAAGCATTCTCAGAAAATTCTTTGTGATGTGTGCATTCAACTCAAAGAGTGGAAGTTTCCCTTTAATAGAGCAGTTTGAAACACTCTTTTTGTAGAATCTGCAAGTGGATATTTGGATTGCTTTGAGGACTTCTTTGGACACGGGGATATCTTCACAGAAAAACAAGAAAAAAACATTCTCAGAAACTTCTTTGTGATGTGTGCATTCAACTCACAGATTTGAAACTTTCTTTTGATAAAGCAGTTTTGAAACACTCTTTTTTTGTAGAATCCTCAATTAGACATTTGGAGCGCCTTGATACCTATGGTGAAAAATTAAATATCTTTACATAAAAACTTGACGGAAGCATTCTCAGAGACTTCTTCGTGATGTGTGTATTCAACTCACCATATTGAACATTCCTTTTGATGGAGCAGTTTTGAAACACTCTTTTTGTAGAATCTGTACGTGGATATTTGGACCGCTTTGTGGAATTCATTGAAAACGGGTATTTCCTCACATAAAAACTAGACAGAAGCATTCTCAGAAACTTCTTTGTGATGTGTGCATTCAACTCAAACACATGAACATTCCTTTTGATACAGCAGTTTTGAAACACTCTTTTTATAGTATCTGCAAGTGGATATTTGGAGCAATTTGAGGACTCTTGTGAAAAAGGAAATATCTTCACATAAAAACTACACAGAATCATTCTCAGAAACTTCATTGTGATGTGTGCATTCAACGCACAGAGTTGAAACTTTCTTTGGATAGAGCAGTTTTGAAATACTCTTTTTGTGGGATCTGCAAGTGGATATTTGTACCGCTTTTGGAATTCGTTGGAAACGAGTATATCTTAACATAAAAACTAGACAGAAGCATTCTCAGAAACTTCTTTGTGATGTGTGCATTCAACTCAAACACATGAACATTCCTTTTGATACAGCAGTTTTGAAACACTCTTTTTATAGTATCTGCAAGTGGATATTTGGAGCGATTTGAGGACTCTTGTGAAAAAGGAAATACCTTCACATAAAAACTACACAGAAGCATTCTCAGAAACTTCATTGTGATGTGTGCATTCAACGCACAGAGTTGAAACTTTCTTTGGATAGAGCAGTTTTGAAACACTCTTTTTGTAGAATCTGCAAGTGGATATTGGTACCACTTTTGGAATTCGTTGGAAACGGGTATATCTTAACATAAAAACTATACAGAAGCATTCTCATAAACTTTTTTGTGATCTGTGCATTCAACTCACAGAGTTGAACATTCCTTTTGATAGAGCACTTTTGAAACACTCTATTTGAAGGATCTGCAAGTGGACATTTGGGGCGCTTTGCGGCCGATGGTGAAAATGGAAATATCTTCACATAAAAACTAGACAGAAGCATTCTCAGAAACTTCTTAGTGGTGTGTGCATTCAACTCACAGAGTTGAACATTCGTTTTGATAGACCAGTTTTGAAACACTCTTTTTGTAGAATCTGCATGTGGATACTTGGACCACTTTGAGTCCTTTGTTTGAAACAGGAATATCTTCATCTAAAAACAAGACAGAAGCATTTTCAGAAACTTCTTTGTGATGTGTGCATTCAACTGACAGAGTTGAATATTTCTTTTGATAGAGCAGTTTTGAATCACTCTATTTGTAGAATCTGCAAGTGGACATTGGGAGCGCTTTCAGGCCTATGCTGAAAAAGGAAATAACGTAACATAAAAACTAGACAGAAGCATTCTCAGAAACTTCTTTGTGATGAGTGCATTCAACACACCGAGTTGAACATCCATTTTGATAGAGAAGTACTGAAACACTCTTTTTGTAGAATGTGCAAGCGAATATTTCGATCGCTTTGAGGGCTTTGTTGGTAACAGGAATATCATCATATAAAAACTACACAAAAGCCTTCTCAGAAACTACTTTGTGACGCGTGCATTCAACTCACAGAGTTCAAACTTTCTTTTGATAGAGCAGTATTGAAACACACTTTTTGTATAATCTGCAAGTGGATATTTGGAGCGCTCTGTGGCCTATATTGAAAAAGGAAATATCTTCACATAAAAACTAGACAGAAGCATTCTCAGAAACTTCTTTTTGATGTTTGCATTCAACTCACAGAGCTGAACATTCCTTTTGATAGAGCAGGTATGAAACTCACTTTTTGCAGAATCTGCAAGTGGATATTTGGACGGCGATTAGGAATTCGTTGAAAACGGGTATATCTTCGCATACAAACTAGACAGA
>NC_000011.10:51090417-51120633 GCF_000001405.40 Homo sapiens
GCATTGTGAGAAACTTCTTTGTGATGTTTGCATTCAACTCACAGAGTTGAACCTTGCTTTCATAGTTCAGCTTTCAAACACTCCTTTTGTAGAATCTGCAAGTGGATATTTGGGCCACTTTGTGGCCTTCCTTCGAAACGGGTATATCTTCACATCAAACCTAGACAGAAGCATTCTCAGAATGTTTCCTGTGATGACTGCATTCAACTCACAGAGGTGAACAATCCTGCTGATGGAGCAGTTTTGAAAATCTCTTTCTTTGGATTCTGCAAGTGGATATGTGGACCTCTGTGAAGATTTCGTTGGAAACGGGTTCATCGTCACAGAAAAACTAAACAGAAGCATTCTCAGAAACTGCTTTGTGATGTTTGTTTTCCACTTCAGGAATTGAACTTTCCTCTTGACAGAGCAGGTCTGAAACCCTATTTTTCTAGAATCTGCAGGTGGACATTTGGAGGGCTTTGAGGCCTGTGGTGGAAAAGGAAAATCTTCACATGAAAACTAGATGGAAGCATTCTCAGAAACTACTTTGTGATGATTGCATTCGACTCACAGAGTTGAACATTCCTATAGATAGAGCAGGTTGGCAACAATCTTTTTGTATAATCTGCGAATGGAGATTTGGACTGCTTTGAGGCCTACTGTAGTAAAGGAAATAACTTCATCTAAAAACCAAACGGAAGCATTCACAGAGAATTCTTAGTGATCATTGGATTCAACTAACAGAGCTGAACATTCCTTTAGATGGCGCAGTTTCCAAACACACTTTCTGTAGAATCTGCAAGTGGATATTTGGACCTCTCTGAGGATTTTCTTTGGAAACGGGATAAACTTCCCAGAACTACACGGAAGCATTCTGAGAAACTTCTTTGTGATGTTTGCATTCAACTCACAGAAGTTGAACCTTGCTTTCATAATTCAGCTTTCAAACACTATTTTTGTAGAATCTGCAAGTGGATATTTGGACCACTTTGTGGCCTTCCTTCGAAAGGGGTATATCTTCACATCAAACCTAGACAGAAGCATTCTCAGAATGTTTCCTGTGATGACTGCATTCAACTCACAGAGGTGAACAATCCTGCTGATGGAGCAGTTTTGAAACTCTCTTTCTTTGGATTCTGCAAGTGGATATGTGGACCTCTGTGAAGATTTCGTTGGAAACGGGTTCATCTTCACAGAAAAACTAAACAGGAACATTCTCAGAAACTGCTTTGTGATGTTTGTGTTCCACTTCAAGAATTGAACTTTCCTCTTGACAGAGCAGCTCTGAAACCCTCTTTTTCTAGAATCTGCAAGTGGACATTTGGAGGGCTTTGAGGCCTGTGGTGGAAAAGGAAAATCTTCACATAAAAACTAGATGGAAGCATTCTCAGAAACTACTTTGTGATGATTGCATTCGACTCACAGATTTGAACATTCGTATAGATAGAGTACGTTGTAAACAATCTTTTTGTAGAATCTGCGATTGGAGATTTGGACTGCTTTGAGGCCTACTGTAGTAAAGGAAATAACTTCATCTAAAAACCAAACGGAAGCATTCACAGACAATTCTTAGTGATCATTGGATTGAACTAACAGAGCTGAACATTCCTTTAGATGGAGCAGTTTCCAAACACACTTTCTGTAGAATCTGCAAGTGGATATTTGGACCTCTCTGAGGATTTCGTTGGAAACGGGATAAACTTCCCAGAACTACACGGAAGCATTGTGAGAAACTTCTTTGTGATGTTTGCATTCAACTCACAGAGTTGAACCTTGCTTTCATAGTTCAGCTTTCAAACACTCTTTTTGTAGAATCTGCAAGTGGATATTTGGACCACTTTGTGGCCTTCCTTCGAAACGGGTATATCTTCACATCAAACCTAGACAGAAGCATTCTCAGAATGTTTCCTGTGATGACTGCATTCAACTCACAGAGGTGAACAATCCTGCTGATGGAGCAGTTTTGAAACTCTCTTTCTTTGGATTCTGCAGGTGGATATGTGGACCTCTGTGAAGATTTCGTTGGAAATGGGTTCATCTTCACAGAAAAACTAAACAGGAGCATTCTCAGAAACTGCTTTGTGATGTTTGTGTTCCACTTCAGGAATTGAACTTTCCTCTTGACAGAGTAGCTCTGAAACCCTCTTTTTCTAGAATCTGCAAGTGGACATTTGGAGGGCTTTGAGGCCTCTGGTGGAAAAGGAAAATCTTCACATAAAAACTAGATGGAAGCATTCTCAGAAACTACTTTGTGATGATTGCATTCGACTCACAGAGTTGAACATTCGTATAGATAGAGCAGGTTGTAAACAATCTTTTTGTAGAATCTGCGATTGGAGATTTGGACTGCTTTGAGACCTACTGTAGTAAAGGAAATAACTTCATCTAAAAACCAAACGGAAGCATTCACAGACAATTCTTAGTGATCATTGCATTGAACTAACAGAGCTGAACATTCCTTTAGATGGCGCAGTTTCCAAACACACTTTCTGTAGAATCTGCAAGTGGATATTTGGACTTCTCTGAGGATTTCGTTGGAAACGGGATAAACTTCCCAGAACTACACGGAAGCATTCTGAGAAACTTCTTTGTGATGTTTGCATTCAACTCACAGAGTTGAACCTTGCTTTCATAGTTCAGCTTTCAAACACTCTTTTTGTAGAATCTGCAAGTGGATATTTGGACCACTTTGTGGCCTTCCTTCGAACGGGTATATCTTCACATCAAACCTAGACAGAAGCATTCTCAGAATGTTTCCTGTGATGACTGCATTCAACTCACAGAGGTGAACAATCCTGCTGATGGAGCACTTTTGAAACTCTCTTTCTTTGGATTCTGCAAGTTGATATGTGGAACTCTGTGAAGATTTCGTTGGAAACGGGTTCATCCTCACAGAAAAACTAAACAGAAGCATTCTCAGAAACTGCTTTGTGATGTTTGTGTTCCACTTCAAGAATTGAACTTTTCTCTTGACAGAGCAGCTCTGAAACCCTCTTTTTCTAGAATCTGCAAGTGGACATTTGGAGGGCTTTGAGGCCTGTGGTGGAAAACGAAAATCTTCACATAAAAACTAGATGGAAGCATTCTCAGAAACTACTTTGTGATGATTGCATTCGACTCACAGAGTTGAACATTCCTATAGATAGAGCAGGTTGTAAACAATCTTTTTGTAGAATCTGCGATTGGAGATTTGGACTGCTTTGAGGCCTACTGTAGTAAAGGAAATAACTTCATCTAAAAACGAAACGGAAGCATTCACAGACAATTCTTAGTGATCATTGCATTGAACTAACAGAGCTGAACATTGCTTTAGATGGCGCAGTTTCCAAACACACTTTCTGTAGAATCTGCAAGTGGATATTTGGACCTCTCTGAGGATTTCGTTGGAAACGGGATAAACTTCCCAGAACTACACGGAAGCATGCTGAGAAACTTCTTTGTGATGTTTGCATTCAACTCACAGAGTTGAACCTTGCTTTCATAGTTCAGCTTTCAAACACTCTTTTTGTAGAATCTGCAAGTGGATATTTGGACCACTTTGTGGCCTTCCTTCGAAACGGGTATATCTTCACATCAAACCTAGACAGAAGCATTCTCAGAATGTTTCCTGTGATGACTGCATTCAACTCACAGAGGTGAACAATCCTGTTGATGGAGCAGTTTTGAAACTCTCTTTCTTTGGATTCTGCAAGTTGATATGTGGACCTCTGTGAAGATTTCGTTGGAAACGGGTTCATCTTCACAGAAAAACTAAACAGAAGCATTCTCAGAAACTGCTTTGTGATGTTTGTGTTCCACTTCAGGAATTGAACTTTCCTCTTGACAGAGCAGCTCTGAAACCCTCTTATTCTAGAATCTGCAAGTGGACATTTGGAGGGCTTTGAGGCCTGTGGTGGAAAAGGAAAATCTTCATATAAAAACTAGATGGAAGCATTCTCAGAAACTACTTTGTGATGACTGCATTCGACTCACAGAGTTGAACATTCCTATACATAGAGCAGGTTGTAAACAATCTTTTTGTAGAATCTGCGATTGGATATTTGGACTGCATTGAGGCCTACTGTAGTAACGGAAATAACTTCATCTAAAAACCAAACGGAAGCATTCACAGACAATTCTTAGTGATCATTGGATTGAACTAACAGAGCTGAACATTCCTTTAGATGGAGCAGTTTCCAAACACACTTTCTGTAGAATCTGCAAGTGGATATTTGGACCTCTCTGAGGATTTCGTTGGAAACGGGATAAACTTCCCAGAACTACACGGAAGCATTGTGAGAAACTTCTTTGTGATGTTTGCATTCAACTCACAGAGTTGAACCTTGCTTTCATAGTTCAGCTTTCAAACACTCTTTTTGTAGAATCTGCAAGTGGATATTTGGACCACTTTGTGGCCTTCCTTCGAAACGGGTATATCTTCACATCAAACCTAGACAGAAGCATTCTCAGAATGTTTCCTGTGATGACTGCATTCAACTCACAGAGGTGAACAATCCTGTTGATGGAGCAGTTTTGAAACTCCCTTTCTTTGGATTCTGCAAGTGGATATGTGGAACTCTTTGAAGATTTCGTTGGAAACGGGTTCATCTTCACAGAAAAACTAAACAGGAGCATTCTCAGAAACTGCTTTGTGATGTTTGTGTTCCACTTCAGGAATTGAACTTTCCTCTTGACAGAGCAGCTCTGAAACCCTCTTATTCTAGAATCTGCAAGTGGACATTTGGAGGGCTTTGAGGCCTGTGGTGGAAAAGGAAAATCTTCACATAAAAACTAGATGGAAGGATTCTCAGAAACTACTTTGTGATGATTGCATTCGACTCACAGAGTTGAACATTCCTATAGAGAGAGCAGGTTGTAAACAATCTCTTTGTAGAATCTGCGATTAGAGATTTGGACTACTTTGAGGCTTACTGTAGTAAAGGAAATAACTTCATCTAAAAACCAAACGGAAGCAATCACAGACAATTCTTAGTGATCATTGCATTGAACTAACAGAGCTGAACATTCCTTTAGATGGCGCAGTTTCCAAACACACTTTCTGTAGAATCTGCAAGTGGATATTTGGACCTCTCTGAGGATTTCGTTGGAAACGGGATAAACTTCCCAGAACTACACGGAAGCATTGTGAGAAACTTCTTTGTGATGTTTGCATTCAACTCACAGAGTTGAACCTTGCTTTCATAGTTCAGCTTTCAAACACTCTTTTTGTAGAATCTGCAAGTGTATATTTGGACCACTTTGTGGCCTTCCTTCGAAACGGGTATATCTTCACATCAAACCTAGACAGAAGCATTCTCAGAATGTTTTCCTGTGATGACTGCATTCAACTCACAGAGGTGAACAATCCTGCTGACGGAGCAGTTTTGAAACTCTCTTTCTTTGGATTCTGCAAGTGGATATGTGGACCTCTGTGAAGATTTCGTTGGAAACGGGTTCATCCTCACAGAAAAACTAAACAGGAAGCATTCTCAGAAACTGCTTTGTGATGTTTGTGTTCCACTTCAAGCAATTGAACTTTCCTCTTGACAGAGCAGCTCTGAAACCCTCTTTTTCTAGAACCTGCAAGTGGACATTTGGAGGGCTTTGAGGCCTGTGGTGGAAAAGGAAAATCTTCACATAAAAACTAGATGGAAGCATTCTCAGAAACTACTTTGTGATGATTGCATTCGACTCACAGAGTTGAACATTCCTATAGATAGAGCAGGTTGTAAACAATCTTTTTGTAGAATCTGCGATTGGACATTTGGACTGCTTTGAGGCCTACTGTAGTAAAGGAAATAACTTCATCTAAAAACCTAACGGAAGCATTCACAGACAATTCTTAGTGATCATTGGATTGAACTAACAGAGCTGAACATTCCTTTAGATGGAGCAGTTTCCAAACCCACTTTCTGTGGAATCTGCAAGTGGATATTTGGACTTCTCTGAGGATTTCGTTGGAAACGGGATAAACTTCCCAGAACTACACGGAAGCATGCTGAGAAACTTCTTTGTGATGTTTGCATTCAACTCACAGAGTTGAAACTTGCTTTCATAGTTCAGCTTTCAAACACTCTTTTTGTAGAATCTGCAAGTGGATATTTGGACCACTTTGTGGCCTTCCTTCGAAACGGGTATATCTTCACATCAAACCTAGACAGAAGCATTCTCAGAATGTTTCCTGTGATGACTGCATTCAACTCACAGAGGTGAACAATCCTGTTGATGGAGCACTTTTGAAACTCTCTTTCTTTGGATTCTGCAAGTTGATATGTGGACCTCTGTGAAGATTTCGTTGGAAACGGGTTCATCTTCACAGAAAAACTAAACAGAAGCATTCTCAGAAACTGCTTTGTGATGTTTGTGTTCCACCTAAAGAATTGAACTTTCCTCTTGACAGAGCAGCTCTGAAACCCTCTTTTTCTAGAATCTGCAAGTGGACATTTGGAGGGCTTTGAGGCCTGTGGTGGAAAAGGAAAATCTTCACATAAAAACTAGATGGAAGCATTCTCAGAAACTCCTTTGTGATGATTGCATTCGACTCACAGAGTTGAACATTCCTATAGATAGAGCAGGTTGTAAACAATCTTTTTGTAGAATCTGCGATTGGAGATTTGGACTGCTTTGAGGCCTACTGTAGCAAAGGAAATAACTTCATCTAAAAACCAAACGGAAGCATTCACAGACAATTCTTAGTGATTATTGGATTGAACTAACAGAGCTGAACATTCCTTTAGATGGCACAGTTTCCAAACACACTTTCTGTAGAATCTGCAAGTGGATATTTTGACCTCTCTGAGGATTTCGTTGGAAACGGGATAAACTTCCCAGAACTACACGGAAGCATTGTGAGAAACTTACTTGTGATGTTTGCATTCAACTCACAGAGTTGAACCTTGCTTTCATACTTCAGCTTTCAAACACTCTTTTTGTAGAATCTGCAAGTGGATATTTGGACCACTTTGTGGCCTTCCTTCGAAACGGGTATATCTTCACATCAAACCTAGACAGAAGCATTTTCAGAATGTTTCCTGTGATGACTGCATTCAACTCACAGCGGTGAACAATCCTGCTGATGGAGCAGTTTTGAAACTCTCTTTCTTTGGATTCTGCAAGTGGATATGTGGACCTCTGTGAAGATTTCGTTGGAAACGGGTTAATCTTCACAGAAAAACTAAACAGAAGCATTCTCAGAAACTGCTTTGTGATGTTTTTGTTCCACTTCAGGAATTGAACGTTCCTCTTGACAGAGCAGCTCTGAAACCCTCTTTTTCTAGAATCTGCAAGTGGACATTTGGAGGGCTTTGAGGCCTGTGGTGGAAAAGGAAAATCTTCACATAAAAACTAGATGGAAGCATTCTCAGAAAATACTTTGTGATGATTGCATTCGACTAACAGAGTTGAACATTCCTATAGATAGAGCAGGTTGTAAACAATCTTTTTGTAGAATCTGCGATTGGAGATTTGGACTGCTTTGAGGCCTACTGTAGTAAAGGAAATAACTTCATCTAAAAACCAAACGGAAGCATTCACAGACAATTCTTAGTGATCATTGCATTGAACTAACAGAGCTGAACATTCCTTTACATGGCGCAGTTTCCAAACACACTTTCTGTAGAATCTGCAAGTGGATATTTGGACCTCTCTGAGGATTTCGTTGGAAACGGGATAAACTTCCCAGAACTACACGGAAGCATTCTGAGAAACTTCTTTGTGATGTTTGCATTCAACTCACAGAGTTGATCCTTGCTTTTATAGTTCAGCTTTCAAACACTCTTTTTGTAGAATCTGCAAGTGGATATTTGGACCACTTTGTGGCCTTCCTTCGAAACGGGTATATCTTCACATCAAACCTAGACAGAAGCATTCTCAGAATGTTTCCTGTGATGACTTCATTGAACTCACAGAGGTGAACAATCCTGTTGATGGAGCAGTTTTGAAACTCTCTTTCTTTGGATTCTGCAAGTGGATATGTGGACCTCTGTGAAGATTTCGTTGGAAACGGGTTCATCTTCACAGAAAAACTAAACAGCAGCATTCTCAGAAACTGCTTTGTGATGTTTGTGTTCCACTTCAGGAATTGAACTTTCCTCTTGACAGAGCAGCTCTGAAACCCTCTTATTCTAGAATCTGCAAGTGGACATTTGGAGGGCTTTGAGGCCTGTGGTGGAAAAGGAAAATCTTCACATAAAAACTAGATGGAAGCATTCTCAGAAACTACTTTGTGATGATTGCATTCGACTCACAGAGTTGAACATTCCTATACATAGAGCAGGTTGTAAACAATCTTTTTGTAGAATCTGCGATTGGAGATTTGGACTGCTTTGAGGCCTACTGTAGTAAAGGAAATAACTTCATCTAAAAACCAAACGGAAGCATTCACAGACAATTCTTAGTGATCATTGCATTGAACTAACAGAGCTGAACATTCCTTTAGATGGCGCAGTTTCCAAACACACTTTCTGTAGAATCTGCAAGTAGATATTTGGACCTCTCTGAGGATTTCGTTGGAAACGGGATAAACTTCCCAGGACTACACGGAAGCATTCTGAGAAACTTCTTTGTGATGTTTGCATTCAACTCACAGAGTTGAACCTTGCTTTCATAGTTCAGCTTTCAAACACTCTTTTTGTAGAATCTGCAAGTGGATATTTGTACCACTTTGTGGCCTTCCTTCGAAACGGGTATATCTTCACATCAAACCTAGACAGAAGCATTCTCAGAATGTTTCCTGTGATGACTGCATTCAACTCACAGAGGTGAACAATCCTGCTGATGGAGCACTTTTGAAACTCTCTTTCTTTGGATTCTGCAAGTTGATATGTGGACCTCTGTGAAGATTTCGTTGGAAACGGGTTCATCTTCACAGAAAAACTAAACAGAAGCATTCTCAGAAACTGCTTTGTTATGTTTGTGTTCCACTTCAGGAATTGAACTTTCCTCTTCACAGAGCAGCTCTGAAACCCTCTTATTCTAGAATCTGCAAGTGGACATTTGGAGGGCTTTGAGGCCTGTGGTGGAAAACGAAAATCTTCACATAAAAACTAGATGGAAGCATTCTCAGAAACTACTTTGTGATGATTGCATTCGACTCACAGAGTTGAACATTCCTATAGGTAGAGCAGGTTGTAAACAATCTTTTTGTAGAATCTGCGATTGGAGATTTGGACTGCTTTGAGGCCTACTGTAGTAAAGGAAATAACCTCATCTAAAAACCAAACGGAAGCATTCACAGACAATTCTTAGTGATCATTGGATTGAACTAACAGAGCTGAACGTTCCTTAAGATGGCGCAGTTTAAAAAACACACTTTCTGTAGAATCTGCAAGTGGATATTTGGACCTCTCTGAGGATTTCGTTGGAAACGGGATAAACTTCCCAGAACTACACGGAAGCATTGTGAGAAACTTATTTGTGATGTTTGCATTCAACTCACAGAGTTGAACCTTGCTTTCATACTTCAGCTTTCAAACACTCTTTTTGTAGAATCTGCAAGTGGATATTTGGACCACTTTGTGGCCTTCCTTCGAAACGGGTATATCTTCACATCAAACCTAGACAGAAGCATTTTCAGAATGTTTCCTGTGATGACTGCATTCAACTCACAAAGGTGAACAATCCTGCTGATGGAGCAGTTTTGAAACTCTCTTTCTTTGGATTCTGCAAGTGGATATGTGGACCTCTGTGAAGATTTCGTTGGAAACGGGTTCATCTTCACAGAAAAACTAAACAGAAGCATTCTCAGAAACTGCTTTGTGATGTTTGTGTTCCACTTCAGGAATTGAACTTTCCTCTTGACAGAGCAGCTCTGAAACCCTCTTATTCTAGAATCTGCAAGTGGACATTTGGAGGGCTTTGAGGCCTGTGGTGGAAAAGGAAAATCTTCACATAAAAACTAGATGGAAGCATTCTCAGAAACTACTTTGTGATGATTTCATTCGACTCACAGAGTTCAACATTCCTATAGATAGAGCAGGTTGAAAACAATCTTTTTGTAGAATCTGCGATTGGAGATTTGGACTGCTTTGAGGCCTACTGTAGTAAAGGAAATAACTTCATCTAAAAACCAAACAGAAGCATTCACAGACAATTCTTAGTGATCATTGGATTGAACTAACAGAGCTGAACATTCCTTTAGATGGAGCAGTTTCCAAACACACTTTCTGTAGAATCTGCAAGTGGATACTTGGACTTCTCTGAGGATTTCGTTGGAAAAGGGATAAACTTCCCAGAACTACACGGAAGCATTGTGAGAAACTTCTTTGTGATGTTTGCATTCAACTCACAGAGTTGAACCTTGCTTTCATAGTTCAGCTTTCAAAAACTCTTTTTGTAGAATCTGCAAGTGGATATTTGGACCACTTTGTGGCCTTCCTTCGAAACGGGTATATCTTCACATCAAACCTAGACAGAAGCATTCTCAGAATGTTTCTTGTGATGACTGCATTCAACTCACAGAGGTGAACAATCCTGTTGATGGAGCAGTTTTGAAACTCTCTTTCTTTGGATTCTGCAAGTGGATATGTGGACCTCTGTGAAGATTTCGTTGGAATCGGGTTCATCTTCACAGAAAAACTAAACAGAAGCATTATCAGAAACTGCTTTGTGATGTTTTTGTTCCACTTCAGGAATTGAACTTTCCTCTTGACAGAGCAGCTCTGAAAACCTCTTATTCTAGAATCTGCAAGTGGACATTTGGAGGGCTTTGAGGCCTGTGGTGGAAAAGGAAAATCTTCACATAAAAACTAGATGGAAGCATTCTCAGAAACTACTTTGTGATGATTGCATTCGACTCACAGAGTTGAACATTCCTATAGATAGAGCAGGTTGAAAACAATCTTTTTGTAGAATCTGCGATTGGAGATTTGGACTGCTTTGAGGCCTACTGTAGTAAAGGAAATAACTTCATCTAAAAACTAAACGGAAGCATTCACAGACAATTCTTAGTGATCATTGCATTGAACTAACAGAGCTGAACATTCCTTTAGATGGCGCAGTTTCCAAACACACTTTCTGTAGAATCTGCAAGTGGATATTTGGACTTCTCTAAGGATTTCGTTGGAAACGGGATAAACTTCCCAGAACTACACGGAAGCATTGTGAGAAACTTCTTTGTGATGTTTGCATTCAACTCACAGAGTTGAACCTTGCTTTCATAGTTCAGCTTTCAAACACTCTTTTTGTAGAATCTGCAAGTGGATATTTGGACCACTTTGTGGCCTTCCTTCGAAACGGGTATATCTTCACATCAAACCTAGACAGAAGCATTCTCAGAATGTTTCCTGTGATGACTGCATTCAACTCACAGAGGTGAACAATCCTGCTCATGGAGCAGTTTTGAAACTCTCTTTCTTTGGATTCTGCAGGTGGATATGTGGACCTCTGTGAAGATTTCGTTGGAAACGGGTTCATCTTCACAGAAAAAATAACAGGAACATTCTCAGAAACTGCTTTGTGATGTTTGTGTTCCACTTCAAGAATTGAACTTTCCTCTTGACAGAGCAGCTCTGAAACCCTCTTATTCTAGAATCTGCAAGTGGACATTTGGAGGGCTTTGAGGCCTGTGGTGGAAAAGGAAAATCTTCACATAAAAACTAGATGGAAGCATTCTCAGAAACTGCTCTGTGATGATTGCATTCGACTCACAGAGTTGAACATTCCTATCGATAGAGCAGGTTGTAAACAATCTTTTTGTAGAATCTGCGATTGGAGATTTGGACTGCTTTGAGGCCTACTGTAGTAAAGGAAATAACTTCATCTAAAAACCAAACGGAAGCATTCACAGACAATTCTTAGTGATCATTGGATTGAACTAACAGAGCTGAACATTCCTTTAGATGGAGCAGTTTCCAAACACACTTTCTGTAGAATCTGCAAGTGGATATTTGGACTTCTCTGAGGATTTCGTTGGAAACGGGATAAAATTCCCAGAACTACACGGAAGCATTCTGAGAAACTTCTTTCTGATGTTTGCATTCAACTCACAGAGTTGAACCTTGCTTTCATAGTTCAGCTTTCAAACACTCTTTTTGTAGAATCTGCAAGTGGATATTTGGACCACTTTGTGGCCTTCCTTCGAAACGGGTATATCTTCACATCAAACCTAGACAGAAGCATTCTCAGAATGTTTCCTGTGATGACTGCATTCAACTCACAGAGGTGAACAATCCTGTTGATGGGGCACATTTGAAACTCTCTTTCTTTGGATTCTGCAAGTTGATATGTGGACCTCTGTGAAGATTTCGTTGGAAACGTGTTCATCTTCACAGAAAAACTAAACAGAAGCATTCTCAGAAACTGCTTTGTGATGTTTGTGTTCCACTTCAAGAATTGAACTTTCCTCTCGACAGAGCAGCTCTGAAACCCTCTTTTTCTAGAATCTGCAAGTGGACATTTGGAGGGCTTTGAGGCCTGTGGTGGAAAAGGAAACTCTTCACATAAAAACTAGATGGAAGCATTCTCAGAAACTACTTTGTGATGATTGCATTCGACTCACAGAGTTCAACATTCCTATAGGGAGAGCAGGTTGTAAACTATCTTTTTGTAGAATCTGCGATTGGAGATTTGGACTGCTTTGAGGCCTACTGTAGTAAAGGAAATAACTTCATCTAAAAACCAAACGGAAGCATTCACAGACAATTCTTAGTGATCATTGCATTGAACTAACAGAGCTGAACATTCCTTTAGATGGCGCAGTTTCCAAACACACTTTCTGTAGAATCTGCAAGTGGATATTTGGACCTCTCTGAGGATTTCGTTGGAAAGGGGATAAACTTCCCAGAACTACACGGAAAGCATTGTGAGAAACTTCTTTGTGATGTTTGCATTCAACTCACAGAGTTGAACCTTGCTTTCATAGTTCAGCTTTCAAACACTCTTTTTGTGGAATCTGCAAGTGGATATTTGGACCACTTTGTGGCCTTCCTTCGAAACGGGTATATCTTCACATCAAACCTAGACAGAAGCATTCTCAGAATGTTTCCTGTGATGACTGCATTCAACTCACAGAGGGGAACAATCCTGCTGACGGAGCAGTTTTGAAACTCTCTTTCTTTGGATTCTGCAAGTAGATATGTGGACATCTGTGAAGATTTCGTTGGAAACGGGTTCATCTTCACAGAAAAACTAAACAGAAGCATTCTCAGAAACTGCTTTGTGATGTTTGTGTTCCACTTCAAGAATTGAACTTTCCTCTTGACAGAGCAGCTCTGAAACCCTCTTTTTCTAGAATCTGCAAGTGGACCTTGGGAGGGCTTTGAGGCCTGTGGTGGAAAAGGAAAATCTTCACATAAAAACTACATGAAAGTATTCTCAGAAACTCCTTTGTGATGATTGCATTCGACTCACAGAGTTGAACATTCCTATAGATAGAGCAGGTTGTAAACAATCTTTTTGTAGAATCTGCGATTGGAGATTTGGACTGCTTTGAGGCCTACTGTAGTAAAGGAAATAACTTCATATAAAAACCAACCTGATGCATTCACAGACAATTTTTAGTGATCATTGGATTGAACTAACAGAGCTGAACATTCCTTTAGATGGCGCAGTTTCCAAACACACTTTCTGTAGAATCTGCAAGTGGATATTTGGACCTCTCTGAGGATTTCGTTGGAAACGGGATAAACTTCCCAGAACTACACGGAAGCATTCTGAGAAACTTCTTTGTGATGTTTGCATTCAACTCACAGAGTTGAACCTTGCTTTCATAGTTCAGCTTTCAAACACTCTTTTTGTAGAATCTGCAAGTGGATATTTGGACCACTTTGTGGCCTTGCTTCGAAACGGGTATATCTTCACATCAAACCTAGACAGAAGCATTCTCAGAATGTTTCCTGTGATGACTGCATTCAACTCACAGAGGTGAACAATCCTGTTGATGGAGCAGTTTTGAAACTCTCTTTCTTTGGATTCTGCAAGTTGATATGTGGACCTCTGTGAAGATTTCGTTGGAAACGGGTTCATCTTCACAGAAAAACTAAAAAGAAGCATTCTCAGAAACTGCTTTGTGATGTTTGTGTTCCACTTCAGGAATTGAACTATCCTCTTGACAGAGCAGCTCTGAAACCCCCTTTTTCTAGAATCTGCAAGTGGACATTTGGAGGGCTTTGAGGCCTGTGGTGGAAAAGGAAAATCTTCACATAAAAACTAGATGGAAGCATTCTCAGAAACTACTTTGTGATGATTGCATTCGACTCACAGAGTTGAACATTCCTATAGATAGAGCAGGTTGAAAACAATCTTTTTGTAGAATCTGCGATTGGAGATTTGGACTGCTTTGAGGCCTACTGTAGTAAAGGAAATAACTTCATCTAAAAACCAAACGGAAGCATTCACAGACAATTCTTAGTGATCATTGGATTGAACTAACAGAGCTGAACATTCCTTTAGATGGAGCAGTTTCCAAACACACTTTCTGTAGAATCTGCAAGTGGATATTTGGACCTCTCTGAGGATTTCGTTGGAAACGGGATAAACTTCCCAGAACTACACGGAAGCATTGTGAGAAACATCTTTGTGATGTTTGCATTCAACTCACAGAGTTGAACCTTGCTTTCATAGTTCAGCTTTCAAACACTCTTTTTGTAGAATCTGCAAGTGGATATTTGGACCACTTTGTGGCCTTCCTTCGAAACGGGTATATCTTCACATCAAACCTGGACAGAAGCATTCTCAGAATGTTTCCTGTGATGACTGCATTCAACTCACAGAGGTGAACAATCCTGCTGATGGATCAGTTTTGAAACTCTCTTTCTTTGGATTCTGCAAGTGGATATGTGGACCTCTGTGAAGATTTCGTTGGAAACGGGTTCATCTTCACAGAAAAACTAAACAGAAGCATTCTCAGAAACTGCTTTGTGATGTTTGTGATCCACTTCAGGAATTGAACTTTCCTCTTGACAGAGCAGCTCTGAAACCCTCTTTTTCCAGAATCTGCAAGTGGACATTTGGAGGGCTTTGAGGCCTGTGGTGGAAAAGGAAAATCTTCACATAAAAACTAGATGGAAGCATTCTCGGAAACTACTTTGTGATGATTGCATTCGACTCACAGAGTTGAACATTCCTATAGATAGAGCAGTTTGAAAACAATCTTTTTGTAGAATCTGCGATTGGAGATTTGGACTGCTTTGAGGCCTACTGTAGTAAAGGAAATAACTTCATCTAAAAACCAAACGGAAGAATTCACAGAAAATTCTTAGTGATCATTGGATTGAACTAACAGAGCTGAACATTCCTTTAGATGGAGCAGTTTCCAAACCCACTTTCTGTAGAATCAGCAAGTGGATATTTGGACTTCTCTGAGGATTTCGTTGGAAACGGGATATGCTTCCCAGAACTACAGGGAAGCATTCTGAGAAACTTCTTTGTGATGTTTGCATTCAACTCACAGAGTTGAACCTTGCTTTCATAGTACAGCTTTCAAACACTCTTTTTGTAGATTCTGCAAGTGGATATTTGGACCACTTTGTGGCCTTCCTTCGAAACGGGTATATCTTCACATCAAACCTAGACAGAAGCATTCCCAGAATGTTTCCTGTGATGACTGCATTCAACTCACAGAGGTGAACAATCCTGCTGATGGAGCAGTTTTGAAACTCTCTTTCTTTGGATTCTGCAAGTGGATATGTGGACCTCTGTGAAGATTTTGTTGGAAACGGGTTCATCTTCACAGAAAAACTAAACAGGAGCATTCTCAGAAACTGCTTTGTGATGTTTGTGTTCCACTTCAGGAATTGAACTTTCCTCTTGACAGAGCAGCTCTGAAACCCTCTTATTCTAGAATCTGCAAGTGGACATTTGGAGGGCTTTGAGGCCTGTGGTGGAAAAGGAAAATCTTCACATAAAAACTAGATGGAAGCATTCTCAGAAACTACTTTGTGATGATTGCATTCGACTCACAGAGTTGAACATTCCTATAGATAGAGCAGGTTGGAAACAATCTTTTTGTAGAATCTGCGATTGGAGATTTGGACTGCTTTGAGGCCTACTGTAGTAAAGGAAATAACTTCATCTAAAAACCAAACGGAAGCATTCACAGACAATTCTTAGTGATCATTGGATTGAACTAACAGAGCTGAACATTCCTTTAGATAGAGCAGTTTCCAAACACACTTTCTGTAGAATCTGCAAGTGGATATTTGGACTTCTCTGAGGATTTCGTTGGAAACGGGATAAACTTCCCAGAACTACCCGGAAGCATTCTGAGAAACTTCTTTGTGATGTTTGCATTCAACTCACAGAGTTGAACCTTTCTTTCATAGTTCAGCTTTCAAACACTCTTTTTGTAGAATCTGCAAGTGGATATTTGGACCACTTTGTGGCCTTCCTTCGAAACGGGTATATCTTCACATCAAACCTAGACAGAAGCATTCTTAGAATGTTTCCTGTGATGACTGCATTCAACTCACAGAGGTGAACAATCCTGCTGATGGAGCAGTTTTGAAACTCTCTTTCTTTGGATTCTGCAAGTGGATATGTGGACCTCTGTGAAGATTTCGTTGGAAACGGGTTCATCTTCACAGAAAAACTAAACAGGAGCATTCTCAGAAACTGCTTTGTGATGTTTGTGTTCCACTTCAAGAATTGAACTTTCCTCTTGGCAGAGCAGCTCTGAAACCCTCTTTTTCTAGAATCTGCAAGGGGACATTTGGAGGGCTTTGAGGTCTGTGGTGGAAAAGGAAAATCTTCACATAAAAACTAGATGGAAGCATTCTCAGAAACTACTTTGTGATGATTGCATTCGACTCACAGAGTTGAACATTCCTATAGATAGAGCAGGTTGTAAACAATGTTTTTGTAGAATCTGCGATTGGAGATTTGGATTTCTTTGAGGCCTACTGTAGTAAAGGAAATAACTTCATCTAAAAACCAAACGGAAGCATTCACAGACAATTCTTAGTGATCATTGGATTGAACTAACAGAGCTGAACATTCCTTTAGATGGAGCAGTTGCCAAACCCACTTTCTGTAGAATCTGCAAGTGGATATTTGGACTTCTCTGAGGATTTCGTTGGAAACGGGATAAACTTCCCAGAACTACACGGAAGCATTGTGAGAAACTTCTTTGTGATGTTTGCATTCAACTCACAGAGTTGAACCTTGCTTTCATAGTTCAGCTTTCAAACACTCTTTTTGTAGAATCTGCAAGTGGATATTTGGAGGGCTTTGAGGCCTGTGGTGGAAAAGGAAAATCTTCACATAAAAACTAGATGGAAGCATTATCAGAAACTACTTTGTGATGATTGCATTCGACTCACAGAGTTGAACATTCCTATAGATAGAGCAGGTTGTAAACAATCTTTTTGTAGAATCTGCAATTGGAGATTTGGACTGCTTTGAGGCCTACTGTAGTAAAGGAAATAACTTCATCTAAAAACCAAACGGAAGCATTCACAGACAATTCTTAGTGATCATTGCATTGAACTAACAGAGCTGAACATTCCTTTAGATGGTGCAGTTTCCAAACACACTTTCTGTAGAATCTGCAAGTGGATATGTGGACTTCTCTGAGGATTTCGTTGGAAACGGGATAAACTTCCCAGAACTACACGGAAGCATTCTGAGAAACTTCTTTGTGATGTTTGCATTCAACTCACAGAGTTGAACCTTGCTTTCATAGTTCAGCTTTCAAACACTCTTTTTGTAGAATCTGCAAGTGGATATTTGGACCACTTTGTGGCCTTCCTTTGAAAAGGGTGTATCTTCACATCAAACCTAGACAGAAGCATTCTCAGAATGTTTCCTGTGATGACTGCATTCAACTCACAGAGGTGAACAATCCTGTTGATGGAACAGTTTTGTAACTCTCTTTCTTTGGATTCTGCAAGTTGATATGTGGACCTCTGTGAAGATTTCGTTGGAAACTGGTTCATCTTCACAGAAAAACTAAACAGAAGCATTCTCAGAAACTGCTTTGTGATGTTTGTGTTCCACTTCAAGAATTGAACTTTCCTCTTGACAGAGCAGCTCTGAAACCCTCTTTTTGAAGAATCTGCAAGTGGACATTTGGAGGGCTTTGAGGCCTGTGGTGGAAAAGGAAAATCTTCACATAAAAACTAGATGGAAGCATTCTCAGAAACTACTTTGTGATGATTCCATTCGACTCACAGAGTTGAACATTCCTGTAGATAGAGCAGGTTGTAAAAAATCTTTTTGTAGAATCTGCGATTGGAGATTTGGACTGCTTTGAGGCCTACTGTAGTAAAGGAAATAACTTCATCTAAAAACCAAACGGAAGCATTCATAGACAATTCTTAGTGATCATTGGATTGAACTAACAGAGCTGAACAATTCCTTTAGATGGCGCAGTTTCCTAACACACTTTCTATAGAATCTGCAAGTGGATATTTGGACCTCTATGAGGATTTCGTTGGAAACGGGATAAACTTCCCAGAAGTACACGGAAGCATTCTGAGAAACTTCTTTGTGATGTTTGCATTCAACTCACAGAGTTGAAACTTGCTTTCATAGTTCAGCTTTCAAACACTCTTTTTGTAGAATCTGCAAGTGGATATTTGGACCACTTTGTGGCCTTCCTTCAAAACGGGTATATCTTCACATCAAACCTAGACAGAAGCATTCTCAGATTGTTTCCTGTGATGACTGCATTCAACTCACAGAGGTGAACAATCCTGCTGATGGAGCAGTTTTGAAACTCTCTTTCTTTGGATTCTGCAAGTGGATATGTGGACCTCTGTGAAGATTTCGTTGGAAACGGGTTCATCTTCACAGAAAAACTAAACAGCAGCATTCTCAGAAACTGCTTTGTGATGTTTGTGTTCCACTTCAGGAATTGAACTTTCCTCTTGACAGAGCAGCTCTGAAACCCTCTTTTTCTAGAATCTGCAAGTTGACATTTGGAGGGCTTTGAGGCCTGTGGTGGAAAAGGAAAATCTTCACATAAAAACTAGATGGAAGCATTCTCAGAAACTTCTTTGTGATGATTGCATTCGACTCACAGAGTTGAACATTCCTATAGATAGAGCAGGTTGTAAACAATCTTTTTGTAGAATCTGCGATTGGAGATTTGGACTGCTTTGAGGCCTACTGTAGTAAAGGAAATTACTTCATCTAAAAACCAAACGGAAGCATTCACAGACAATTCTTAGTGATCATTGGATTGAACTAACAGAGCTGAACATTCCTTTAGATGGAGCAGTTTCCAAACCCACTTTCTGTAGAATCTGCAAGTGGATATTTGGACTTCTCTGAGGATTTCGTTGGAAACGGAATAAAGTTCCCAGAACTACACGGAAGCATTGTGAGAAACTTCTTTGTGATGTTTGCATTCAACTCACAGAGTTGAACCTTGCTTTCATAGTTCAGCTTTCAAACACTCTTTTTGTAGAATCTGCAAGTGGATATTTGGACCACTTTGTGGCCTTCCTTCGAAACGGGTATATCTTCACATCAAACCTAGACAGAAGCATTCTCAGAATGTTTCCTGTGATGACTGCATTCAACTCACAGAGGTGAACAATCCTGCTGATGGAGCAGTTTTGAAACTCTCTTTCTTTGGATTCTGCAAGTGGATATGTGGACCTCTGTGAAGATTTCGTTGGAAACGGGTTCATCTTCACAGAAAAACTAAACAGGAGCATTCTCAGAAACTGCTTTGTGGTGTTTGTGTTCCACTTCAAGAATTCAACTTTCCTCTTGACTGAGCAGCTCTGAAACCCTCTTTTTCTAGAATCTGCAAGTGGACATTTGGAGGGCTCTGAGGCCTGTGGTGGAAAAGGAAAATCTTCACATAAAAACTAGATGGAAGCATTCTCAGAAACTACTTTGTGATGATTGCATTCGACTCATAGAGTTGAAAATTCCTATAGATAGAGCAGGTTGTAAACAATCTTTCTGTAGAATCTGCGATTGGAGATTTGGACTTCTTTGAGGCCTACTCTAGTAAAGGAAATAACTTCATCGAAAAACCAAGCGGAAGCATTCACAGACAATTCTTAGTGATCATTGGATTGAACTAACAGAGCTGAACATTCCTTTAGATGGAGCAGTTTCCAAACACACTTTCTGTAGAATCTGCAAGTGGATATTTGGACCTCTCCGAGGATTTCGTTGGAAACGGGTTAAACTTCCCAGAACTAACACGGAAGCATTCTGAGAAACTTCTTTGTGATGTTTGCATTCAACTCACAGAATTGAACCTTGCTTTCATAGTTCAGCTTTCAAACACTCTTTTTGTAGAATCTGCAAGTGGATATTTGGACCACTTTGAGGCCTTCCTTCGAAACGGGTATATCTTCACATCAAACCTAGACAGAAGCATTCTCAGAATGTTTCCTGTGATGACTGCATTCAACTCACAGAGGTGAACAATCCTGCTGATGGAGCAGTTTTGAAACTCTCTTTCTTTGGATTCTGCAAGTGGATATGTGGACCTCTGTGAAGATTTCGTTGGAAACGGGTTCGTCTTCACAGAAAAACTAAACAGAAGCATTCTCAGAAACTGCTTTGTGATGTTTGTGTTCCACTTCAGGAATTGAACTTTCCTCTTGACAGAGCAGCTCTGAAACCCTCTTATTCTAGAATCTGCAAGTGGACATTTGGAGGGCTTTGAGGCCTGTGGTGGAAAAGGAAAATCTTCACATAAAAACTAGATGGAAGCATTCTCAGAAACTACTTTGTGATGATTGCATTCGACTCACAGAGTTGAACATTCCTATAGATATACCAGGTTGTAAACAATCTTTTTGTAGAATCTGCGATTGGAGATTTGGACTGCTTTGAGGCCTACTGTAGTAAAGGAAATAACTTCATCTAAAAACCAAACGGAAGCATTCACAGACAATTCTTAGTGATCATTGGATTGAACTAACAGAGCTGAACATTCCTTTAGATGGAGCAGTTTCCAAACACACTTTCTGTAGAATCTACAAGTGGATATTTGGACTTCTCTGAGGATTTCGTTGGAAACGGGATAAACTTCCCAGAACTACACGGAAGCATTCTGAGAAACTTCTTTGTGATGTTTGCATTCAACTCACAGAGTTGAACCTTGTTTTCATAGTTCAGCTTTCAAACACTCTTTTTGTAGAATCTGCAAGTGGATATTTGGACCACTTTGTGGCCTTCCTTCGAAACGGGTATATCTTCACATCAAACCTAGACAGAAGCATTCTCAGAATGTTTCCTGTGATGACTGCATTCAACTCACAGAGGTGAACAATCCTGTTGATGGAGCACTTTTGAAACTCTCTTTCTTTGGATTCTGCAAGTGGATATGTGGACCTCTGTGAAGATTTCGTTGGAAACGGGTTCATCTTCACAGAAAAACTAAACAGAAGCATTCTCAGAAACTGCTTTGTGATGTTTGTGTTCCACTTCAAGAATTGAACTTTCCTCTTTACAGAGCAGCTCTGAAACCCTCTTTTTCTAGAATCTGCAAGTGGACATTTGGAGGGCTTTGAGGCCTGTGGTGGAAAAGGAAAATCTTCCCATAAAAACTAGATGGAAGCATTCTCAGAAACTACTTCGTGATGATTGCATTCGACTCACAGAGTTGAACATTCCTATAGATAGAGCAGGTTGTAAACAATCTTTTTGTAGAATCTGCGATTGGAGATTTGGACTGCTTTGAGGCCTACTGTAGTAAAGGAAATAACTTCATCTAAAAACCAAACGGAAGCATTCACAGACAATTCTTAGTGATCATTGGATTGAACTAACAGAGCTGAACATTCCTTTAGATGGAGCAGTTTCCAAACACACTTTCTGTAGAATCTGAAAGTGGATATTTGGACTTCTCTGAGGATTTCGTTGGAAACGGGATAAACTTCCCAGAACTACACGGAAGCATTCTGAGAAACTTCTTTGTGATGTTTGCATTCAACTCACAGAGTTGAACCTTGCTTTCATAGTTCAGCTTTCAAACACTCTTTTTGTAGAATCTGCAAGTGGATATTTGGACCATTTGTGGTCTTCCTTCGAAACGGGTATATCTTCACATCAAACCTAGACAGAAGCATTCTCAGAATGTTTCCTGTGATGACTGCATTCAACTCACAGAGGTGAACAATCCTGCTGATGGAGCACTTTTGAAACTCTCCTTCTTTGGATTCTGCAAGTGAATATGTGGTCCTCTGTGAAGATTTCGTTGGAAACGGGTTCATCTTCACAGAAAAACTAAACAGAAGCATTCTCAGAAACTGCTTTGTGATGTTTGTGTTCCACTTCAGGAATTGAACTTTCCTCTTGACAGAGCAGCTCTGAAACCCTCTTATTCTAGAATCTGCAAGTGGACATTTGGAGGGCTTTGAGGCCTGTGGTGGAAAAGGAAAATCTTCACATAAAAACTAGATGGAAGCATTCTCAGAAACTACTTTGTGATGATTGCATTCGACTCACAGAGTTGAACATTCCTATAGATAGAGCAGGTTGTAAACAATCTTTTTGTAGAATCTGCGATTGGAGATTTGGACTGCTTTGAGGCCTACTGTAGTAAAGGAAATAACTTCATCTAAAAACCAAACGGAAGCATTCACAGACAATTCTTAGTGATCATTGGATTGAACTAACAGAGCTGAACATTCCTTTAGATGGAGCAGTTTCCAAACACACCTTCTGTAGAATCTGCAAGTGGATATTTGGACCTCTCTGAGGATTTCGTTGGAAAAGGGATAAACTTCCCAGAACTACACGGAAGCATTGTGAGAAACTTTTTTGTGATGTTTGCATTCAACTCACAGGGTTGAACCTTGCTTTCATAGTTCAGCTTTCAAACACTCTTTTTGTAGAATCTGCAAGTGGATATTTGGACCACTTTGTGGCCTTCCTTCGAAACGGGTATATCTTCACATCAAACCTAGACAGAAGCATTCTCAGAATGTTTCCTGTGATGACTGCATTCAACTCACAGAGGTGAACAATCCTGTTGATGAAGCACTTTTGAAACTCTCTTTCTTTGGATTCTGCAAGTTGATATGTGGACATCTGTGAAGATTTCGTTGGAAACGGGTTCATCTTCACAGAAAAACTAAACAGAAGCATTCTCAGAAACTGCTTTGTGATGTTTGTGTTCCACTTCAAGAATTGAACTTTCCTCTTGACAGAGCAGCAATGAAACCCTCTTTTTCTAGAATCTGCAAGTGGACATTTGGAGGGCTTTGAGGCCTGTGGTGGAAAAGGAAAATCTTCACATAAAAACTAGATGGAAGCATTCTCAGAAACTACTTTGTGATGATTGCATTCGACTCACAGAGTTGAACATTCCTATAGATAGAGCAGGTTGTAAACAATCTTTTTGTAGAATCTGCGATTGGAGATTTGGACTGCTTTGAGGCCTACTGTAGTAAAGGAAATAACTTCATCTAAAAACCAAACGGAAGCATTCACAGGACAATTCTTAGTGATCATTGCATTGAACAAACAGAGCTGAACATTGCTTTAGATGGCGCAGTTTCCAAACCCACTTTCTGTAGAATCTGCAAGTGGATATTTGGACCTCTCTGAGGATTTCGTTGGAAACGGGATAAACTTCCCAGAACTACACGGAAGCATGCTGAGAAACTTCTTTGTGATGTTTGCATTCAACTCACAGAGTTGAACCTTGCTTTCATAGTTCAGCTTTCAAACACTCTTTTTGTAGAATCTGCAAGTGGATATTTGGACCACTTTGTGGCCTTCCTTCGAAACGGGTATATCTTCACATCAAACCTAGACAGAAGCATTCTCAGAATGTTTCCTGTGATGACTGCATTCAACTCACAGAGGTGAACAATCCTGTTGATGGAGCACTTTTGAAACTCTCTTTCTTTGGATTCTGCAAGTTGATATGTGGACCTCTGTGAAGATTTCGTTGGAAACGGGTTCATCTTCACAGAAAAACTAAACAGAAGCATTCTCAGAAACTACTTTGTGATGTTTGTGTTCCACTTCAAGAATTGAACTTTCCTCTTGACAGAGCAGCTCTGAAACCCTCTTTTTCTAGAATCTGCAAGTGGACATTTGGAGGGCTTTGAGGCCTGTGGTGGAAAAGGAAAATCTTCACATAAAAACTAGATGGAAGCATTCTCAGAAACTACTTTGTGATGATTGCATTCGACTCACAGAGTTGAACATTCCTATAGATAGAGCAGGTTGTAAACAATCTTTTTGTAGAATCTGCGATTGGAGATTTCGACTGCTTTGAGGCCTACTGTACTAAAGGAAATAACTTCATCTAAAAACCAAACGGAAGCATTCACAGACAATTCTTAGTGATCATTGGATTGAACTAACAGAGCTGAACATTCCTTTAGATGGAGCAGTTTCCAAACCCACTTTCTGTAGAATCTGCAAGGGGATATTTGGACTTCTCTGAGGATTTCGTTGGAAACGGGATAAACTTCCCAGAACTACACGGAAGCATTGTGAGAAACTTCTTTGTGATGTTTGCATTCAACTCACAGAGTTGAACCTTGCTTTCATAGTTCAGCTTTCAAACACTCTTTTTGTAGAATCTGCAAGTGGATATTTGGACCACTTTGTGGCCTTCCTTCGAAACGGGTATATCTTCACATCAAACCTAGACAGAAGCATTCTTCGAATGTATCCTGTGATGACTGCATTCAACTCACAGAGGTGAACAATCCTGCTGATGGAGCAGTTTTGAAACTCTCTTTCTTTGGATTCTGCAAGTGGATATGTGGACCTCTGTGAAGATTTCGTTGGAAACGGGTTCATCTTCACAGAAAAACTAAACAGAAACATTCTCAGAAACTGCTTTGTGATGTTTGTGTTCCACTTCAAGAATTGAACTTTCCTCTTGACAGAGCAGCTCTGAAACCCTCTTTTTCTAGAATCTGCAAGTGGACATTTGGAGGGCTTTGAGGCCTGTGGTGGAAAAGGAAAATCTTCACATAAAAACTAGATGGAAGCATTCTCAGAAACTACTTTGTGATGATTGCATTCGACTCACAGAGTTGAACATTCCTATAGATAGAGCAGGTTGTAAACAATCTTTTTGTAGAATCTGCGATTGGAGATTTGGACTGCTTTGAGGCCTACTGTAGTAAAGGAAATAACTTCATCTAAAAACCAAACGGAAGCATTCACAGACAATTCTTAGTGATCATTGGATTGAACTAACAGAGCTGAACATTCCTTTAGATGGAGCAGTTTCCAAACACACTTTCTGTAGAATCTGCAAGTGGATATTTGGACCTCTCTGAGGATTTCGTTGGAAACGGGATAAACTTCCCAGAACTACACGGAAGCATTCTGAGAAACTTCTTTGTGATGTTTGCATTCAACTCACAGAGTTGAACTTTGCTTTCATAGTTCTGCTTTCAAACACTCTTTTTGTAGAATCTGCAAGTGGATATTTGGACCACTTTGTGGCCTTCCTTCGAAACGGGTATATCTTCACATCAAACCTAGACAGAAGCATTATCAGAATGTTTCCTGTGATGACTGCATTCAACTCACAGAGGTGAACAATCCTGCTGATGGAGCAGTTTTGAAACTCTCTTTCTTTGGATTCTGCAAGTGGATATGTGGACCTCTGTGAAGATTTCGTTGGAAACGGGTTCATCTTCACAGAAAAACTAAACAGAAGCATTCTCAGAAACTGCTTTGTGATGTTTGTGTTCCACTTCAGGAATTGAACTTTCCTCTTGACAGAGCAGCTCTGAAACCCTCTTATTCTAGAATCTGCAAGTGGACATTTGGAGGGCTTTGAGGCCTGTGGTGGAAAAGGAAAATCTTCACATAAAAACTAGATGGAAGCATTCTCAGAAACTACTTTGTGATGATTGCATTCGACTCACAGAGTTGAACATTCCTATAGATAGAGCAGGTTGTAAACAATCTTTTTGTAGAATCTGCGATTGGAGATTTGGACTGCTTTGAGGCCTACTGTAGTAAAGGAAATAACTTCATCTAAAAACGAAACGGAAGCATTCACAGACAATTCTTAGTGATCATTGGATTGAACTAACAGAGCTGAATATTCCTTTAGATGGAGCAGTTTCCAAACACACTTTCTGTAAAATCTGCAAGTGGATATTTGGACCTCTCTGAGGATTTCGTTGGGAACGGGATAAACTTCCCAGAACTACACGGAAGCATTCTGAGAAACTTCTTTGTGATGTTTGCATTCAACTCACAGAGTTGAACCTTGCTTTCACAGTTCAGCTTTCAAACACTCTTTTTGTAGAATCTGCAAGTGGATATTTGGACCACTTTGTGGCCTTCCTTCGAAACGGGTATATCTTCATATCAAACCTAGACAGAAGCATTCTCAGAATGTTTCCTGTGATGACTGCATTCAACTCACAGAGGTGAACAATCCTGCTGATGGAGCAGTTTTGAAACTCTCTTTCTTTCGATTCTGCAAGTGGATTTGTGGACCTCTGTGAAGATTTCGTTGGAAAAGGGTTCATCTTCACAGAGAAACTAAACAGGAGCATTCTCAGAAACTGCTTTGTGATGTTTGTGTTCCACTTCAGGAATTGAACTTTCCTCTTGACAGAGCAGCTCTGAAACCCTCTTTTTCTAGAATCTGCAAGTGGACATTTGGAGGGCTTTGAGGCCTGTGGTGGAAAAGGAAAATCTTCACATAAAAACTAGATGGAAGCATTCTCAGAAACTACTTTGTGATGATTGCATTCGACTCACAGAGTTGAACATTCCTATAGATAGAGCAGGTTGTAAACAATCTTTTTGTAGAATCTGCGATTGGAGATTTGGACTGCTTTGAGGCCTACTGTAGTAAAGGAAATAACTTCATCTAAAAACCAAACGGAAGCATTCACAGACAATTCTTAGTGATCATTGGATTGAACTAACAGAGCTGAACATTCCTTTAGATGGAGCAGTTTCCAAACCCACTTTCTGTAGAATCTGCAAGTGGATATTTGGACTTCTGTGAGGATTTCGTTGGAAACGGGATAAACTTCCCAGAACTACACGGAAGCATTCTGAGAAAACTTCTTTGTGATGTTTGCATTCAACTCACAGAGTTGAACCTTGCTTTCATAGTTCAGCTTTCAAACACTCTTTTTGTAGAATCTGCAAGTGGATATTTGGACCACTTTGTGGCCTTCCTTCGAAACGGGTATATCTTCACATCAACCCTAGACAGAAGCATTCTCAGAATGTTTCCTGTGATGACTGCATTCAACTCACAGAGGTGAACAATCCTACTGATGGAGCAGTTTTGAAACTCTCTTTCTTTGGATTCTGCAAGTGGATATGTGGACCTCTGTGAAGATTTCGTTGGAAACGGGCTCATCTTCACAGAAAAACTAAACAGGAGCATTCTCAGAAACTACTTTGTGATGTTTGTGTTCCACTTCAAGAATTGAACTTTCCTCTTGACAGAGCAGCTCTGAAACCCTCTTTTTCTAGAATCTGCAAGTGGACATTTGGAGGGCTGTGAGGCCTGTGGTGGAAAAGGAAAATCTTCACATAAAAACTGGATGGAAGCATTCTCAGAAACTACTTTGTGATGATTGCATTCGACTCACAGAGTTGAACATTCCTATAGATAGAGCAGGTTGTAAACAATCTTTTTGTAGAATCTGCGATTGGAGATTTGGACTGCTTTGAGGCCTACTGTAGTAAAGGAAATAACTTCATCTAAAAACCAAACGGAAGCATTCACAGACAATTCTTAGTGATCATTGCATTGAACTAACAGAGCTGAACATTCCTTTAGATGGAGCAGTTTCCAAACACACTTTCTGTAGAATCTGCAAGTGGATATTTGGACTTCTCTGAGGATTTCGTTGGAAACGGGATAAACTTCCCAGAACTACACGGAAGCATGCTGAGAAACTTCTTTGTGATGTTTGCATTCAACTCACAGAGTTGAACCTTGCTTTCATAGTTCAGCTTTCAAACACTCTTTTTGTAGAATCTGCAAGTGGATATTTGGACCACTTTGTGGCCTTCCTTCGAAACGGGTATATCTTCACATCAAACCTAGACAGAAGCATTCTCAGAATGTTTCCTGTGATGACTGCATTCAACTCACAGAGGTGAACAATCCTGTTGATGGAGCACTTTTGAAACTCTCTTTCTTTGGATTCTGCAAGTTGATATGTGGACCTCTGTGAAGATTTCGTTGGAAACGGGTTCATCTTCACAGAAAAACTAAACAGAAGCATTCTCAGAAACTACTTTGTGATGTTTGTGTTCCACTTCAAGAATTGAACTTTCCTCTTGACAGAGCAGCTCTGAAACCCTGTTTTTCTAGAATCTGCAAGTGGACATTTGGAGGGCTTTGAGGCCTGTGGTGGAAAAGGAAAATCTTCACATAAAAACTAGATGGAAGCATTCTCAGAAACTACTTTGTGATGATTGCATTCGACTCACAGAGTTGAACATTCCTATAGATAGAGCAGGTTGTAAACAATCTTTTTGTAGAATCTGCGATTGGAGATTTGGACTGCTTTGAGGCCTACTGTAGTAAAGGAAATAACTTCATCTAAAAACCAAACGGAAGCATTCACAGACAATTCTTAGTGATCATTGGATTGAACTAACAGAGCTGAACATTCCTTTAGATGGAGCAGTTTCCAAACACACTTTCTGTAGAATCTGCAAGTGGATATTCGGACTTCTCTGAGGATTTCGTTGGAAACGGGATAAACTTCCCAGAACTACACGGAAGCATTGTGAGAAACTTCTTTGTGATGTTTGCATTCAACTCACAGAGTTGAACCTTGCTTTCATAGTTCAGCTTTCAAACACTCTTTTTGTAGAATCTGCAAGTGGATATTTGGACCACTTTGTGGCCTTCCTTCGAAACGGGTATATCTTCACATCAAACCTAGACAGAAGCATTCTCAGAATGTTTCCTGTGATGACTGCATTCAACTCACAGAGGTGAACAATCCTGCTGTTGGAGCAGTTTTGAAACTCTCTTTCTTTGGATTCTGCAAGTGGATATGTGGACCTCTGTGAAGATTTCGTTGGAAACGAGTTCATCTTCACAGAAAAACTAAACAGGAGCATTCTCAGAAACTGCTTTGTGATGTTTGTGTTCCACTTCAACAATTGAACTTTCCTCTTGACAGAGCAGCTCTGAAACCCTCTTATTCTAGAATCTGCAAGTGGACATTTGGAGGGCTTTGAGGCCTGTGGTGGAAAAGGAAAATCTTCACATAAAAACTAGATGGAAGCATTCTCAGAAACTACTTTGTGATGATTGCATTCGACTCACAGAGTTGAACATTCCTATAGATAGAGCAGGTTGTAAACAATCTTTTTGTAGAATCTGCGATTGGAGATTTGGACTGCTTTGAGGCCTACTGTAGTAAAGGAAATAACTTCATCTAAAAACCAAACGGAAGCATTCACAGACAATTCTTAGTGATCATTGCATTGAACTAACAGAGCTGAACATTCCTTTAGATGGAGCATTTTCCAAACACACTTTCTGTAGAATCTGCAAGTGGATATTTGGACTTCTCTGAGGATTTCGTTGGAAACGGGATAAACTTCCCAGAACTACACGGAAGCATTGTGAGAAACTTCTTTGTGATGTTTGCATTCAACTCACAGAGTTGAACCTTGCTTTCATAGTTCAGCTTTCAAACACTCTTTTTGTAGAATCTGCAAGTGGATATTTGGACCACTTTGTGGCCTTCCTTCGAAACGGGTATATCTTCACATCAAACCTAGACAGAAGCATTCTCAGAAAATTTTCTAGAAAAATCTAGAAGAAATGGATAAATTCCTTGACACATACACTCTCCGAAGACTAAACCAGGAATAAGTTGAATCTCTGAATAGACCAATAACAGGAGCTAAAATTGTGGCAATAATCAATTGCTTACCAACCAAAAAAGGTCCAGGACCAGATGGATTCACAGCCGAATTCTACCAGAGGTACAAGGAGGAACTGGTACCATTCCTTCTGAAACTATTCCAAGCAATAGAAAAAGAGAGAATCCTCCCTAACTCATTTTAAGAGGCCAGCATCATTCTGATACCAAAGCCCTCCAGAGACACAACAAAAAAGTGAATTTTATACCAATACCCTTCATGAACATCGATGCAAAAATCCTCAATAAAATACTGGTAAACCCAATCCAGCAGCACATCAAAAAGCTTATCCACCATGATCAAGTGGGCTTCATCCCTGTGATGCAAGGCTGGTTCAATATATGCAAATCAATAAATGTAATCCATGATATAAACAGAGCCAAAGACAAAAACCACATGATTATCTCAATAGATGCAGAAAAGGCCTTTGACAAATTCAGCACACTTCAGGATAAAACTCTCATAAATTAGGTATTGATGGGACGTATCTCA
>NC_000011.10:54342499-54425074 GCF_000001405.40 Homo sapiens
AGCATTCTCCGAAACTTCTTTGTGATGTTTGCATTCAACTCACAGGCTGAACCATCCTTCCATAGTTCAGCTTTCAAACACTCTTTCTGTAGAATCTGCAAGTGGATATTTGCACAACTTTGTGGCCTTCTTTCGAAACGGGTATATCTTCACATCAAACCTAGACAGAAGCATTCTCAGAATGTTTCCTGTGAGGACTGCATTCAACTCACAGAGTTGGACAATCCTGTTGACGGAGCAGTTTTGAAACTCCCTTTCTTTGGAATCTGCAAGTGGATATGTGGACCTCTTTGAAGATTTCGTTGGAAACGGGTTCATCTTCACATAAAATCTAAACAGAAGCATTCTCAGAAACTACTTTGTGATGTTTGTGTTCAACTTCCGGAATTGAACTTTCCTCTGGAAAAAGCAGCTATGAAACGCTCTTTTTCTAGAATGTGCAAGTGGACATTTGGAGGGCTTTGAGGCCTGCGGTGGAAAGGGAAATATCTTCACATGAAAACTAGATAGAAGCATTCTCAGAAACCACTTTGTGATGATTGCATCGGACTCACAGATTTGGACATTCCTATGGATAGAACAGTTTGTAAACACTCTTTTTGTAGAATCTGCAATTGGAGATTTGGACGGCTTTGAGGCCTACGGAAGTAAAGGAAATAACTTCACATAAAAACCAAATGGAAGCATTCACAGAAAATTCTTTGTGATGATCGTATTTAACTGAGAGAGCTGAAGATTCCTTTAGATGGAGCAGTTTCCAAACACACTTTTGGTAGGATCTGCAAGTGGATATTTGAACATCTCTGAGGATTTCGTTGGAAACGGGATACACTTCCCAGAACTACACGGAAGCATTCTCCGAAACTTCTTTGTGATGTTTGCATACAACTCACAGAGTTGAACGTTCCTTTCATAGTTCAGCTTTGAGACAGTCTTTTGGTAGAATCTGCAGGTGAATATTTGGACCACTGTGAGGCCTTCGTTCGAAACGGGTATACATTCACGTAAAAACTCAAGAGAAGCATTCTCAGAAACTTCTGTGTGATGATTGCATTCAAGTCACAGAGTTGAAGCCTCCATTTGATTGAGCGGTTTGGAAACTCTCTTTTTGTAGAATCTGTAAGAGGATATGTGGACTTCTTTGAAGATTTCTTTGGAACGGGAATATCTTCACAGAAAAACTAAACAGAAGCATTCTCGCAAACTTCTTTGTGATGTTTGTGTTCGGGTCACACAGTTTAACCTCGCTTTTCACAGAGCGGTTTTGAGACACTCCTTTTGTAGAATCTGCAAGTGGACATGTGGAGCGCTTCCAGGCCTGTGGTGGAAAAGGAAACATCTTCACATAAGAACTAGAGAGAAGCATTGTCAGAAACTTCTTTGTGGTGATTGCATTCAACTCACAGAGTTGAAGATTCCGTTTGAAACAGCAGTTTCGAAACAGTCTTTCTGTGGGATCGGCCCGTGGATATTTGGACCTCTTCGAAGATTTCGTTGGAAATGGGATAAACTTCACATAAAAGCTAAACAGAAGCATTGTCAGAAACTTCTTTGTGATGTTTGCATTCACCTCACAGAGTCGAACTTTCCCTCTGATACAGCACCTTTGAAACGCTCGTTTTCTAGAATCTGCAGGTGGACATTTGGAGGGCTTTGTGGACTGTGGTGGAAAAGGAAATATCTTCTCATAAAAACGACATAGAAGCATTCTCAGAATGTTTCCTGTGAGGACTGCATTCAACTCACAGTGTTGGACATTCATTCCTTTTGAGAGAGCAGTTTGGAAACACTCTTTCTGTCGAATCTGCAAGTGGAGATTTGGACCGCTTTGAGGCCTATGGTAGTAAAGGGAAGAACTTCATATAAGAACTAGACAGTAGCACTCTCAGAAAATTCTTTGTGACGATGGAGTTTAACTCAGAGAGCTGAACATTCGTTTTGATGGAGTAGTTTCCAAACACACTTTTGGTAGAATCTGCAAGTTGAAATTTGGACTTCTCTAAGGATTTCGTTGGAAAGGGGATAAACTTCCCAGAAGTAATCGGAAGCATTCTCCAAAACTTCTTTGTGATGTTTGCATTCAACTCACAGGGTTGAATCTTCCTTTCATAGTTCAGCTTTCAAACACCCTTTCTGTAGAATCTGCAAGTGGATATTTTCACCACTTTGTGGCCTTCCTTCAAAACGGGTATATCTTCACATCAAACCTAGACAGAAGCATTCTCAGAAGGTTTCCTGTGATGACTGCATTCAACTCACAGAGTTGAACAATCCTGTTGATGGAGCAGTTTTGAAACTCCCTTTCTTTGGGATCCGCAAGTGGATATGTGGACCTCTTTGAAGATTTCGTTGGAAACGGGTTCATCTTCACATAACAACTAAACAGGAGCATTCTCAGAAACTACTTTGTGATGTTTGTGTCCAACTTCCAGAATTGAACTTTCCTCTGGAAAGAGAAGCTATGAAACGCTCTTTTTCTAGAATGTGCAAGTGGACATTTGGAGGGCTTTGAGGCCTGCGGTGGAAAGGGAAATATCTTCACATGAAAACTAGATAGAAGCATTCTCAGAAACCACTTTTTGATGATTGCATCGGACTCACAGAGTTGGACATTCCTATGGATAGAACAGTTTGTAAACACTCTTTTTGTAGAATCTGCAATTGGAGATTTGGACGGCTTTGAGGCCTATGGAAGTAAAGGAAATAACTTCACATAAAAACCAAATGGAAGCATTCACAGAAAATTCTTTGTGATGATCGTATTTAACTGAGAGAGCTGAACATTCCTTTAGATGGAGCAGTTTCCAAACACACTTTTGGTAGGATCTGCAAGTGGATATTCGGACCTCTCTGAGGATTTCGTTGGAAAGGGGATACACTTCCCAGAACTACACAGAAGCATTCTCCGAAACTTCTTGGTGATGTTTGCATACAACTCACAGAGTTGAACCTTCCTTTCGTAGTTCAGCTGTGAGACACTTTTTTTGTAGAATCTGCAGGTGGATATTTGGACCACTGTGAGGCCTTCGTTCGAAACGGGTATATCTACACGTAACAACTCAAGAGAAGCATTCTCAGAAACTTCTGTGTGATGATTGCATTCAAGTCACAGAGTTGAACCCTCCATTTGATTGAGCAGTTTGGAAACTCTCTTTTTGTGGAATCTGTAAGAGGATATGTGGACTTCTTTGAAGATTTCCTTGGAAACGGGAATATCTTCACAGAAAAACTAAACTGAAGCATTCTCACAAACTTCTTTGTGATGTTTGTGTTCGAGTCACACAGTTTAACATTGCTTCTCATAGAGCAGTTTTGAAACACTCCTTTCGTAGAATCTGCAATTGGACATGTGGAGCGCTTCCAGGCCTGTGGTGGAAAAGGAAACATCTTCACATAAAAACTAGACAGAAGCATTGTCAGAAACTTCTTTGTGATGACTGCATTCAACTCACAGAGTTGAAGATTCCTTTTGAAACAGCAGTTTCGAAACACCCTTTCTGTGGGATCCGCAAGTGGATATTTGGACCTCTTTGAAGATTTCGTTGGAAATGGGGTAAACTTCACATAAAAGCTAAACCGAAGCATTCTCAGAAACTTCTTTGTGATGTTTGCATTCACCTCACAGAGTCGAACTTTCCCTCTGATACAGCACTTTGAAATGCTCGTTTTCTAGAATCTG
The DNA here is from genome assembly GCF_000001405.40 of Homo sapiens. NCBI lineage: Eukaryota > Metazoa > Chordata > Mammalia > Primates > Hominidae > Homo > Homo sapiens. The sequence goes on from NC_000011.10 coordinate 54,346,179, forward strand.
CAGGTGGACATTTGGAGGGCTTTGTGGACTGTGGTGGAAAAGGGAATATCTTCTCATAAAAACTACATAGAAGCACTCTCAGAAACGACTCTGTGATGATAGCATTCAATTCACAGAGTTGGACATTCATTCCTTTTGAGAGAGCAGTTTGAAAACACTCTTTCTGTCGAATCTGTAAGTGGAGATTTGGACCGCTTTGAGGCCTATGGTAGTAAAGGGAAGAACTTCATATAAGAACTAGACAGTAGCACTCTCAGAAAATTCTTTGTGACGATTGAGTTTAACTCAGAGAGCTGAACATTCGTTTTGATGGAGCAGTTTCCAAACACACTTTTTGTAGAATCTGCAAGTGGAAATTTGGACTTCTCTGAGGATTTCGTTGGAAACGTGATAAACTTCCCAGAAGTAATCGGAAGCATTCTCCGAAACTTCTTTGTGATGTCTGCATTCAACTCACGGGGTGGAACCTTCCTTTCATAGATCAGCTTTCAAACACTCTTTCTGTAGAATCTGCAAGTGGATATTTGGACCACTTTGTGGCCTTCCTTCGAAACGGGTATATCTTCACATCAAACCTAGACAGAAGCATTCTCAGAATGTTTCCTGTGAGGACTGCATTCAACTCACAGAGTTGAACAATCGTGTTGACGGAGCAGTTTTGAAACTCCCTTTCTTTGGAATCTGCAAGTGGATTTGTGGACCTCTTTGAAGATTTCGTTGGAAACGGGTTCATCTTCACATAAAAACTAAACAGAAGCATTCTCAGAAACTACTTTGTGATGTTTGTGTTCAACTTCCGGAATTGAACTTTCCACTGGAAAGAGCAGCTATGAAACGCTCTTTTTCTAGAATGTGCAAGTGGACATTTGGAGGGCTTTGAGGCCTGCGGTGGAAAGGGAAATATCTTCACATGAAAACTAGATAGAAAGCATTCTCAGAAATTACTTTGTGATGATTGCATCGGACTCACAGAGTTGGGCATTCCAATGGATAGAACAGTTTGTAAACAGTCTTTTTGTAGAATCTGCAATTGGAGATTTGGACTGCTTTGAGACCTAGGGGAGTAAAGGAAATAACTTCATATAAAAACCAAACGGAGCATTCACAGAAAATTCTTTGTGATGATCGCATTTAACTGAGAGAGCTGAACATTCCTTTCGATGGAGCAGTTTCCAATCACACTTTTTGTAGGATCTGCAAGTGGATATTCGGACCTCTCTGAGGATTTCGTTGGAAACGGGATACACTTCCCAGAAATACACGGAAGCATTCTCCGAAACTTCTTGGTGATGTTTGCATACAACTCACAGAGTTGAACCTTCCTTTCGTAGTTCAGCTGTGAGACACTCTTTTTGTAAAATCTGCAGGTGGATATTTGGACCACAGTGAGGCCTTCGTTCGAAACGGGTATATCTACACGTAACAACTCAAGAGAAGCATTCTCAGAAACTTCTGTGTGATGATTGCATTCAGGTCACAGAGTTGAACCCTCCATTTGATTGAGCAGTTTGGAAACTCTCTTTTTGTAGAATCTGTAAGAGGATATGCGGACTTCTTTGAAGATTCCTTTGGAAACGGGAATATCTTCACAGAAAAACTAAACTCAAGCATTCTCGCAAACTTCTTTGTGATGTTTGTGTTCGGGTCACACAGTTTAACCTCGCTTTTCACAGAGCGGTTTTGAGACACTCCTTTTGTAGAATCTGCAAGTGGACATGTGGAGCGCTTCCAGGCCTGTGGTGGAAAAGGAAACATCTTCACATAAGAACTAGAGAGAAGCATTGTCAGAAACTTCTTTGTGATGATTGCATTCAACTCGCAGAGTTGAAGATTCCGTTTGAAACAGCAGTTTCGAAACACTCTTTCTGTGGGATCGGCCAGTGGATATTTGGACCTCTTTGGCAATTTCGTTGGAAATGGCATAAACTTCACATAAAAGCTAAACCGAAGCATTCTCAGAAACTTCTTTGTGATGTTTGCATTCACCTCACAGAGTCGAACTTTCCCTCTGATACAGCACCTTTGAAACGCTCGTTTTCTAGAATCTGCAGGTGGACATTTGGAGGGCTTTGTGGACTGTGGTGGAAAAGGAATATCTTCTCATAAAAACGACATAGAAGCACTCTCAGAAACGACTCTGTGATGATAGCATTCAACTCACAGAGTTGGACATTCATTCCTTTTGAGAGAGCAGTTTGGAAACACTCTTTCTGTCGAATCTGCAAGTGGACATTTGGACCGCTTTGAGGCCTATGGTAGTAAAGGGAAGAACTTCATATAAGAACTAGACAGTAGCATTCTCAGAAAATTCTTTGTGACGATGGAGTTTAACTCAGAGAGCTGAACATTCGTTTTGATGGAGCAGTCTCCAAACACACTTTTGGTAGAATCTGCAAGTGGAAATTTGGACTTCTCCGAGGATTTCGTTGGAAAGGGGATCAACTTCCCAGAAGTAATCGGAAGCATTTTCAGAAACTACTTTGTGATGTTTGCATTCAACTCACATAGTTGAACCTTGCTTTCATAGTTCAGCTTTCAAACACTCTTTTTGTAGAATGTGCAAGTGGATATTTGGACCACTTTGTGGCCTTCCTTCGAAACTGGTATATCTTCACATCAAACCTAGACAGAAGCATTCTCAGAATGTTTCCTGTGAGGACTGCATTCAACTCACAGAGTTGAACAATCCTGTTAATGGAGCAGTTTTGAAACTCCCTTTCTTTGGAATCTGCAAGTGGATATGTGGACCTCTTTGAAGATTCCGTTGGAAACGGGTTCATCTTCACATAAAAACTAAACAGAAGCATTCTCAGAAACTACTTTGTGATGTTTGTGTTCAACTTCCGGAATTGAACTTTCCTCTGGAAAGAGCAGCTATGAAACGCTCTTTTTCTAGAATGTGCAAGTGGACATTTGGAGGGCTTTGAGGCCTGTGGTGGAAAGGGAAATATCTTCACATGAAAACTAGATAGAAGCATTCTCAGAAACCACCTTGGGATGACTGCATCGGACTCACAGAGTTGGACATTCCTATGGATAGAACAGTTTGTACACACTCTTTTTGTAGAATCTGCAATTGGAGATTTGGACGGCTTTGAGACCTACGGAAGTAAAGGAAATAACTTCACATAAAAACCAAACGGAAGCATTCACAGAAAATTCTTTGCGATGATTGTATTTAACTGTGAGAGCTGAACATTCCTTTAGATGGAGCAGTTTCCAAACACACTTTTTGTAGGATCTGCAGGTGGATATTCGGACCTCTCTGAGGATTGCATTGGAAACGGGATAAACTTCCCAGAACTACACGGAAGCATGCTCCGAAACTTCTTTGTGATGTTTGCATACAACTCACAGAGTTGAACCTTCCTTTCATAGTTCAGCTTTGAGACACTCTTTTGGTAGAATCTGCAGGTGGATATTTGGACCACTGTGAGGCCTTCGTTCGAAACGGGTACACCTTCACGTAAAAACTCAAGAGAAGCATTCTCAGAAACTTCTGTGTGATGACTGCATTCAGGTCACAGAGTTGAACCCTCCATTTGATTGAGCAGTTTGGAAACTCTCTTTTTGTAGAATCTGTAAGAGGATATGCGGACTTCTTTGAAGATTTCTTTGGAAACGGGAATATCTTCACAGAAAAACTAAACTGAAGCATTCTCACAAACTTCTTTGTGATGTTTGTGCTCAAGTCACACAGTTTAACCTCGCTTTTCACAGAGCGGTTTTGAGACTCTCCTTTCGTAGAATCTGCAAGTGGACATGTGGAGCGCTTCCAGGCCTGTGGTGGAAAAGGAAACATCTTCACATAAGAACTAGAGAGAAGCATTGTCAGAAACGTCTTTGTGATGGTTGCATTCAACTCACAGAGTTGAAGATCCCGTTTGAAACAGCAGTTTCAAAACACTCTTTCTGTGGGATCGGCCAGTGGATATTTGGACCTCTTCGAAGATTTCGTTGGAAATGGGATAAACTTCACATAAAAGCTAAACCGAAGCATTCTCAGAAACTTCTTTGTGATGTTTGCATTCACCTCACAGAGTCGAACTTTCCCTCTGATACAGCACCTTTGAAACGCTCGTTTTCTAGAATCTGCAGGTGGACATTTGGAGGGCTTTGTGGACTGTGGTGGAAAAGGGAATATCTTCTCATAAAAACTATATAGAAGCACTCTCAGAAACGACTGTGTGATGATAGCATTCAACTCACAGAGTTGGACATTCATTCCTTTTGAGAGAGCAGTTTGGAAACACTCTTTCTGTCGAATCTGCAAGTGGAGATTTGGACCGCTTTGAGGCCTATGGTAGTAAAGGGAAGAACTTCATATAAGAACTAGACAGTAGCACTCTCAGAAAATTCTTTGTGACGATGGAGTTTAACTCAGAGAGCTGAACATTCGTTTTGATGGAGCAGTTTCCAAACACACTTTTGGTAGAATTTGCAAGTGTAAATTTGGACTTCTCTAAGGATTTCGTTGGAAAGGGGATAAACTTCCCAGAAGTAATCGGAGGCATTCTCCGAAACTTCTTTGTGATGTTTACATTCAACTCACAGGGTTGAACCTTCCTTTCATAGTTCAGCTTTCAAACACTCTTTCTGCAGAATCTGCAAGTGGATATTTGCACCACTTTGTGGCCTTCCTTCGAAACGGGTATATCTTCACATCAAACCTAGACAGAAGCATTCTCAGAATGTTTCCTGTGATGACTGCATTCAACTCACAGAGGTGAACAATCCTGTTGATGGAGCAGTTTTGAAACTCTCTTTCTTTGGAATCTGCAAGTGGATGTGTGGACCTCTCTGAAGATTTCGTTGGAAACGGGTTCATCTTCACAGAAAAACTAAACAGAAGCATTCTCAGAAACTACTTTGTGATGTTTGTGTTCAACTTCCAGAGTTGAACTTTCCTCTTGAAAGAGCAGCTATGAAACACTCTTTTTCTAGAATGTGCAAGTGGACGTTTGGAGGGCTTTGAGGCCTGCGGTGGAAAAGGAAATATCTTCACATAAAAACTAGATAGAAGCATTCTCAGAAACCACTTTGTGATGATTGCATCGGACTCACAGAGTTGGACATTCCTATGGATAGAACAGTTTGTAAACACTCTTTTTGTAGAATCTGCAATCGGAGATTTGGACGGCTTTGAGACCTACGGAAGTAAAGGAAATAACTTCACATAAAAACCAAACTGAAGCATTCACAGAAAATTCTTTGCGATGATTGCATTTAACTGAGAGAGCTGAACATTCCTTTAGATGGAGCAGTTTCCAAACACACTTTTTGTAGGATCTGCAGGTGGATATTCGGACCTCGTCTGAGGATTGCGTTGGAAACGGGATAAACTTCCCAGAACTACACGGAAGCATTCTCCGAAACTTCTTTGTGATGTTTGCATACAACTCACAGAGTTGAACCTTCCTTTGATAGTTCAGCTTTGAGACACTCTTTTGGTAGAATCTGCAGGTGGATATTTGGACCACTGTGAGGCCTTCGTTCGAAACGGGTACACCTTCACGTAAAAACTCAAGAGGAGCATTCTCAGAAACTTCTGTGTGATGATTGCATTCAGGTCACAGAGTTGAACCCTCCATTTGATTGAGCAGTTTGGAAACTCTCTTTTTGTACAATCTGTAAGAGGATATGCGGACTTCTTTGAAGATTCCTTTGGAAACGGGAATATCTTCACAGAAAAACTAAACTGAAGCATTCTCACAAACTTCTTTGTGATGTTTGTGTTCGAGTCACACAGTTTAACCTCGCTTTTCACAGAGCGGTTTTGAGACACTCCTTTCGTAGAATCTGCAAGTGGACATGTGGAGTGCTTCCAGGCCTGTGGTGGAAAAGGAAACATCTTCACATAAGAACTAGAGAGAAGCATTGTCAGAAACTTCTTTGTGGTGATTACATTCAACTCACAGAGTTGAAGATTCCGTTTGAAACAGCAGTTTCGAAACAGTCTTTCTGTGGGATCGGCCCGTGGATATTTGGGCCTCTTCGAAGATTTCGTTGGAAATGGGATAAACTTCACATAAAAGCTAAACCGAAGCATTCTCAGAAACTTCTTTGTGATGTTTGCATTCACCTCACAGAGTTGAAGATTCCCTCTGATACAGCACCTTTGAAACGCTCGTTTTCTAGAATCTGCAGGTGGACATTTGGAGGGCTTTGGGGATGGTGGTGGAAAAGGAAATATCTTCTCGTAAAAACTACACAGAAGCACTCTCAGAAACGACTCTGTGATGATAGCATTCAACTCACAGAGTTGAACATTCCTTTTGAGAGAGCAGTTTGGAAACACTCTTTCTGCAGAATCTGCAAGTGGAGATTTGGACCGCTTTGAGGCCTATGGTAGTAAAGGAAAGAACTTCATATAAGAACTAGACAGGAGCACTCTCAGAAAATTCTTTGTGACGATGGAGTTTAACTAAGAGAGCTGAACATTCGTTTTGATGGTGCAGTTTCCAAACACACTTTCTGTAGAATCTGCAAGTGTAAATTTGGACTTCTCTGAGGATTTCGTTGGAAAGGGGATAAACTTCCCAGAAGTAATCGGAAGCATTCTCCGAAACTTCTTTGTGATGTTTGCATTCAACTCACAGGCTGAACCTTCGTTTCATAGTTCAGCTTTCAAACACTCTTTCTGTAGAATCTGCAAGTGGATATTTGCACCACTTTGTGGTCTTCCTTCGAAACGGGTATATCTTCACATCAAACCTAGACAGAAGCATTCTCAGAATGTTTCCTGTGAGGACTGCATTCAACTCACAGAGTTGAACAATCCTGTTGACGGAGCAGTTTTGAAACTCCCTTTCTTTGGAATCTGCAAGTGGATATGTGGACCTCTTTGAAGATTTCGTTGGAAACGGGTTCATCTTCACATAAAAACTAAACAGAAGCATTCTCAGAAACTACTTTGTGATGTTTGTGTCCAACTTCCGGAATTGAACTTTCCTCTGGAAAGAGCAGCTATGAAACACTCTTTTTCTAGAATGTGCAAGTGGACATTTGGAGGGCTTTGAGGCCTGCGGTGGAAAGGGAAATATCTTCACATGAAAACTAGATAGAAGCATTCTCAGAAACCACTTTGGGATGATTGCATCGGACTCACAGAGTTGGACATTCCTATGGATAGAACAGTTTGTAAACACTCTTTTTGTAGAATCTGCAATTGGAGATTTGGACGGCTTTGAGGCCTACGGAAGTAAAGGAAATAACTTCACATAAAAACCAAACGGAAGCATTCACAGAAAATTCTTTGCGATGATTGTATTTAACTGAGAGAGCTGAGCATTCCTTTAGATGGAGCAGTTTCCAAAAACACTTTTTGTAGGATCTGCAGGTGGATATTCGGACCTCTCTGAGGATTGCATTGGAAACGGGATAAACTTCCCAGAACTACACGGAAGCATTCTCCGAAACTTCTTTGTGATGTTTGCATACAACTCACAGAGTTGAACCTTCCTTTCATAGTTCAGCTTTGAGACACTCTTTTGGTAGAATCTGCAGGTGGATATTTGGACCACTGTGAGGCCTTCGTTCGAAACGGGTACAACTTCACGTAAAAACTCAAGAGGAGCATTCTCAGAAACTTCTGTGTGACGATTGTAGTCAAGTCACAGAGTTGAACCCTCCATTTGATTGAGCAGTTTGGAAACTCTCTTTTTGTAGAATCTGTAAGAGGATATGCGGACTTCTTTGAAGATTTCTTTGGAAACGGGAATATTTTCACAGAAAAACTATACTGAAGCATTCTCGCAAACTTCTTTGTGATGTTTGTGTTCGGGTCACCCAGTTTAACCTCGCTTTTCACAGAGCGGTTTTGAGACACTCCTTTCGTAGAATCTGCAAGTGGACATGTGGAGCGCTTCCAGGCCTGTGGTGGAAAAGGAAACATCTTCACATAAGAACTAGAGAGAAGCATTGTCAGAAACTTCTTTGTGATGATTGCATTGAACTCACAGAGTTGAAGATTCCGTTTGAAACAGCAGGTTCGAAACACTCTTTCTGTGGGATCGGCCAGTGGATATTTGGACCTCTTTGAAGATTTCGTTGGAAATGGGATAAACTTCACATAATAGCTAAACCGAAGCATTCTCAGAAACTTCTTTGTGATGTTTGCATTCACCTCACAGAGTCGAACTTTCCCTCTGATACAGCACCTTTGAAACGCTCGTTTTCTAGAATCTGCAGGTGGACATTTGGAGGGCTTTGTGGACTGTGGTGGAAAAGGGAATATCTTCTCATAAAAACTACATAGAAGCACTCTCAGAAACGACTCTGTGATGATAGCATTCAACTCACAGAGTTAGACATTCATTCCTTTTGAGAGAGCAGTTTGGAAACACTCTTTCTGTCGAATCTGCAAGTGGAGATTTGGACCGCTTTGAGGCCTATGGTAGTAAAGGGAAGAACTTCATATAAGAACTAGACAGTAGCATTCTCGGAAAATTCTTTGTGACGATGGAGTTTAACTCAGAGAGCTGAACATTCGTTTTGATGGAGCAGTTTCCAAACACACTTTTGGTAGAATCTGCAAGTGTAAATTTGGACTTCCCTAAGGATTTCGTTGGAAAGGGGATAAACTTCCCAGAAGTAATCGGAAGCATTCTCCGAAACTTCTTTGTGATGTTTGCATTCAACTCACAGGGTTGAACCTTCCTTTCATAGATCAGCGTTCAAACACTCTTTCTGCAGAATCTGCAAGTGGATATTTGCACCACTTTGTGGCCTTCCTTCGAAACGGGTATATCTTCACATCAAACCTACACAGAAGCATTCTCAGAATGTTTCCTGTGAGGACTGCATTCAACTCACAGAGTTGAACAATCCTGTTGACGGAGCAGTTTCGAAACTCCCTTTCTTTGGAATCTGCAAGTGGCTATGTGGACCTCTTTGAAGTTTTCGTTGGAAACGGGTTCATCTTCACATAAAAACTAAACAGAAGCATTCTCAGAAACTGCTTTGTGATGTTTGTGTTCCACTTCAAGAATTGAACTTTCCTCTTGACAGAGCAGCTCTGAAACCCTCTTTGTCTAGAATCCGCAAGTGGACATTTGGAGGGCTTTGAGGCCTGTGGTGGAAAAGGAAATATCTTCACATAAAACCTAGATAGAAGCATTCTCGGAAACCACTTTTTGATGATTGCATCGGACTCACAGAGTTGGACATTCCTATGGGTAGAACAGTTTGTAAACACTCTTTTTGTAGAATCTGCAATTGGAGATTTGGACGGCTTTGAGGCCTACGGAAGTAAAGGAAATAACTTCACATAAAAACCAAACGGAAGCATTCACAGAAAATTCTTTGCGATGATTGTATTTAACTGAGAGAGCTGAACATTCCTTTAGACGGAGCAGTTTCCAAACACACTTTTTGTAGGATCTGCAGGTGGATATTCGGACCTCTCTGAGGATTGCATTGGAAACGGGATAAACTTCCCAGAACTACACGGAAGCATTCTCCGAAACTTCTTTGTGATGTTTGCATACAACTCACAGAGTTGAACCTTCCTTTCATAGTTCAGCTTTGAGACACTCTTTTGGTAGAATCTGCAGGTGGATATTTGGACCACTGTGAGGCCTTCGTTCGAAACAGGTACACCTTCACGTAAAAACTCAAGAGGAGCATTGTCAGAAACTTCTGTGTGATGATTGCATTCAGGTCACAGAGTTGAACCCTCCATTTGATTGAGCAGTTTGGAAACTCTCTTTTTGTAGAATCTGTAAGAGGATATGCGGACTTCTTTGAAGATTTCTTTGGAAACGGGAATATCTTCACAGAAAAACTAAACTGAAGCATTCTCGCAAACTTCTTTGTGATGTTTGTGTTCGGGTCACACAGTTTAACCTCGCTTTTCACAGAGCGGTTTTGAGACACTCCTTTCGTAGAATCTGCAAGTGGACATGTGGAGGGCTTCCAGGCCTGTGGTGGAAAAGGAAACATCTTCATATAAGAACTAGAGTGAAGCATTGTCAGAAACTTCTTTGTGATGATTGCATTCAACTCGCAGAGTTGAAGATTCCGTTTGAAACAGCAGTTTCGAAACACTCTTTCTTTGGGATCGGCCAGTGGATATTTGGACCTCTTTGAAGATTTCGTTGGAAATGGCATAAACTTCACATAAAAGCTAAACCGAAGCATTCTCAGAAACTTCTTTGTGATGTTTGCATTCACCTCACAGAGTCGAACTTTTGCTCTGATACAGCACCTTTGAAATGCTCGTTTGCTAGAATCTGCAGGTGGACATTGGGAGGGCTTTGTGGACTGTGGTGGAAAAGGGAATATCTTCTCATAAAAACTACATAGAAGCCCTCTCAGAAACGACTCTGTGATGATAGCATTCAACTCACAGATTTGGACATTCATTCGTTTTGAGAGAGCAGTTTGGAAACACTCTTTCTGTCGAATCTGCAAGTGGAGATTTGGACCGCTTTGAGGCCTATGGTAGTAAAGGGAAGAACTTCATATAAGAACTAGACAGTAGCACTCTCAGAAAATTCTTTGTGACGATGGAGTTTAACTCAGAGAGCTGAACATTCGTTTTGATGGAGCAGTTTCCAAACACACTTTTGGTAGAATCTGCAAGTGTAAATTTGGACTTCCCTAAGGATTTCGTTGGAAAGGGGATAAACTTCCCAGAAGTAATCGGAAGCATTCTCTGAAACTTCTTTGTGATGTTTGCATTCAACTCACAGGGTTGAACCTTCCTTTCATAGTTCAGCTTTCAAACACTCTTTCTGCAGAATCTGCAAGTGGATATTTGCACCACTTTGTGGCCTTCCTTCGAAACGGGTATATCTTCACATCAAACCTAGACAGAAGCATTCTCAGAATGTTTCCTGTGAGGACTGCATTCAACTCACAGAGTTGAACAACCCTGTTGACGGAGCAGTTTCGAAACTCCCTTTCTTTGGAATCTGCAAGTGGATATGTGGACCTCTTTGAAGTTTTCGTTGGAAACGGGTTCATCTTCACATGAAAACTAAACAGAAGCCTTCTCAGAAACTACTTTGTGATGTTTGTGTTCAACTTCCGGAATTGAACTTTCCTCTGGAAAGAGCAGCTATGAAACGCTCTTTTTCTAGAATGTGCAAGTGGACATTTGGAGGGCTTTGAGGCCTGCGGTGGAAAGGGAAATATCTTCACATGAAAACTAGATAGAAGCATTCTCAGAAACCACTTTGGGATGACTGCATCGGACTCACAGAGTTGGACATTCCTATGGATAGAACAGTTTGTAAACACTCTTTTTGTAGAATGTGCAATCAGAGATTTGGACAGCTTTGAGACCTACGGAAGTAAAGGAAATAACTTCACATAAAAACCAAACTGAAGCATTCACAGAAAATTCTTTGGAATGATTGTATTTAACTGAGAGAGCTGAACATTCCTTTAGATGGAGCAGTTTCCAAACACACTTTTTGTAGGATATGCAGGTGGATATTCGGACCTCTCTGAGGATTGCGTTGGAAAAGGGATAATCTTCCCAGAACTACACGGAAGCATTTTCCGAAACTTCTTTGTGATGTTTGCATACAACTCACAGAGTTGAACCTTCCTTTGATAGTTCAGCTTTGAGACACTCTTTTGGTAGAATCTGCAGGTGGATATTTGGACCACTGTGAGGCCTTCGTTCGAAACGGGTACACCTTCACGTAAAACTCAAGAGAAGCATTCTCAGAAACTTCTGTGTGATGATTGCATTCAGGTCACAGAGTTCAACCCTCCATTTGATTGAGCAGTTTGGAAACTCTCTTTTTGTAGAATCTGTAAGAGGATATGCGGACTTCTTTGAAGATTTCTTTGGAAACGGGAATATCTTCACAGAAAATCTAAACTGAAGCATTCTCACAAACTTCTTTGTGATGTTTGTGTTCGAGTCACACAGTTTAACCTCGCTTTTCACAGAGCGGTTTTGAGACACTCCTTTCATAGAATCTGCAAGTGGACATGTGGAGCGCTTGCAGGCCTGTGGTGGAAAAGGAAACATCTTCACATAAGAACTAGAGAGAAGCATTGTCAGAAACTTCTTTGTGATGATTGCATTCAACTCGCAGAGTTGAAGATTCCGTTTGAAACAGCAGTTTCGAAACACTCTTTCTGTGGGATCGGCCAGTGGATATTTGGACCTCTTCGAAGATTTTGTTGGAAATGGGATAAACTTCACATAAAAGCTAAACCGAAGCATTCTCAGAAACTTCTTTGTGATGTTTGCATTCACCTCACAGAGTCGAACTTTCCCTGTGATACAGCACCTTTGAAACGCTCGTTTGCTAGAATCTGCAGGTGGACATTGGGAGGGATTTGTGGACTGTGGTGGAAAAGGGAATATCTTCTCATAAAAACTACATAGAAGCACTCTCAGAAACGACTGTGTGATGATAGCATTCAACTCACAGAGTTGGACATTCATTCCTTTTGAGAGAGCAGTTTGGAAACACTCTTTCTGTCGAATCTGCAAGTGGAGATTTGGACCGCTTTGAGGCCTATGGTAGTAAAGGGAAGAACTTCATATGAGAACTAGACAGTAGCACTCTCAGAAAATTCTTTGTGACGATGGACTTTAACTCAGAGAGCTGAACATTCGTTTTGATGGAGCAGTTTCCAAACACACTTTTGGTAGAATTTGCAAATGTAAATTTGGACTTCTCTAAGGATTTCGTTGGAAAGGGGATAAACTTCCCAGAAGTAATCGGAGGCATTCTCCGAAACTTCTTTGTGATGTTTACATTCAACTCACAGGGTTGAACCTTACTTTCATAGTTCAGCGTTCAAACACTCTTTCTGTAGAATCTGCAAGTGGATATTTGCACCACTTTGTGGCCTTCCTTCGAAACGGGTATATCTTCACATCAAACCTAGACAGAAGCATTCTCAGAATGTTTCCTGTGAGGACTGCATTCAACTCACAGAGTTGAACAATCCTGTTGACGGAGCAGTTTTGAAACTCCCTTTCTTTGGAATCTGCATGTGGATATGTGGACCTCTTTGAAGATTTCGTTGGAAACGGGTTCATCTTCACATAAAAACTAAACAGAAGCATTCTCAGAAACTACTTTGTGATGTTTGTGTTCAACTTCCGGAATTGAACTTTCCTCTGGAAAGAGCAGCTATGAAACGCTCTTTTTCTAGAATGTGCAAGTGGACATTTGGAGGGCTTTGAGGCCTGCGGTGGAAAGGGAAATATCTTCATATGAAAACTAGATAGAAGCATTCTCAGAAACCACTTTGTGATGATTGCATCGGACTCACAGAGTTGGACATTCCTATGGATAGAACAGTTTGTAAACACTCTTTTTGTAGAATCTGCAATTGGAGATTTGGACGGCTTTGAGACCTACGGAAGTAAAGGAAATAACTTCACATAAAAACCAAACTGAAGCATTCACAGAAAATTATTTGCGATGATTGTATTTAACTGAGAGTGCTGAACATTCCTTTAGATGGAGCAGTTTCCAAACACACTTTTTGTAGGATCTGCAGGTGGATATTCGGACCTCTCTGAGGATTGCATTGGAAACGGGATAAACTTCCCAGAACTACACGGAAGCATTCTCCGAAACTTCTTTGTGATGTTTGCATACAACTCACAGAGTTGAACCTTCCTTTCATAGTTCAGCTTTGAGACACTCTTTTGGTAGAATCTGCAGGTGGATATTTGGACCACTGTGAGGCCTTCGTTCGAAACGGGTACACCTTCACGTAAAAACTCAAGAGAAGCATTCTCAGAAACTTCTGTGTGATGATTGCATTCAAGTCACAGAGTTGAACCCTCCATTTGATTGAGCGGTATGGAAACTCTCTTTTTGTAGAATCTGTAAGAGGATATGTGGACTTCTTTGAAGATTTCTTTGGAACGGGAATATCTTCACAGAAAAACTAAACAGAAGCATTCTCACAAACTTCTTTGTGTTGTTTGTGTTCGAGTCACACAGTTTAACCTCGCTATTCACAGAGCGGTTTTGAGACACTCCTTTCGTAGAATCTGCAAGTGGACATGTGGAGGGCTTCCAGGCCTGTGGTGGAAAAGGAAAAATCTTCATATAAGAACTAGAGAGAAGCATTGTCAGAAACTTCTTTGTGATGATTGCATTCAACTCGCAGAGTTGAAGATTCCGTTTGAAACAGCAGTTTCGAAACACTCTTTCTGTGGGATCGGCCAGTGGATATTTGGACCTCTTCGAAGATTTTGTTGGAAATGGGATAAACTTCACATAAAAGCTAAACCGAAGCATTCTCAGAAACTTCTTTGTGATGTTTGCATTCACCTCACAGAGTCGAACTTTCCCTCTGATACAGCACCTTTGAAATGCTCGTTTTCTAGAATCTGCAGGTGGACATTGGGAGGGCTTTGTGGACTGTGGTGGAAAAGGGAATATCTTCTCATAAAAACTACATAGAAGCACTCTCAGAAACGACTCTGTGATGATAGCATTCAACTCACAGAGTTGGACATTCATTCCTTTTGAGAGAGCAGTTTGGAAACACTCTTTCTGTTGAATCTACAAGTGGAGATTTGGACCGCTGTGAGGCCTATGGTAGTAAGGGGAAGAACTTCATATAAGAACTAGACAGTAGCACTCTCAGAAAATTCTTTGTGACGATTGAGTTTAACTCAGAGAGCTGAACATTCGTTTTGATGGAGCAGTTACCAAACACACTTTTTGTAGAATCTGCAAGTGGAAATTTGGACTTCTCTGAGGATTTCGTTGGAAACGGGATAAACTTCACAGAAGTAATCGGAAGCATTCTCCGAAACTTCTTTGTGATGTTTGCATTCAACTCACAGGCTGAACCTTCGTTTCATAGTTCAGCTTTCAAACACTCTTTCTGTAGAATCTGCAAGTGGATATTTGCACCACTTTGTGGCCTTCCTTCAAAACGGGTATATCTTCACATCAAACCTAGACAGAAGCATTCTCAGAATGTTTCCTGTGAGGAGTGCATTCAACTCACAGAGTTGAACAATCCTGTTGACGGAGCAGTTTCGAAACTCCCTTTCTTTGGAATCTGCAAGTGGATATGTGGACCTCTTTGAAGATTTCGTTGGAAACGGGTTCATCTTCACATAAAAACTAAACAGAAGCATTCTCAGAAACTACTTTGTGATGTTTGTGTTCAACTTCCGGAATTGAACATTCCTCTGGAAAGAGCAGCTATGAAATGCTCTTTTTCTAGAATGTGCAAGTGGACATTTGGAGGGCTTTGAGGCCTGCGGTGGAAAGGGATATATCTTCACATGAAAACTAGATAGAAGCATTCTCAGAAACCACTTTTTGATGATTGCATCGGACTCACAGAGTTGGACATTCCTATGGGTAGAACAGTTTGTAAACACTCTTTTTGTAGAATCTGCAATTGGAGATTTGGACGGCTTTGAGGCCTACGGAAGTAAAGGAAATAATTTCACATAAAAACCAAACGGAAGCAATCACAGAAGATTCTTTGCGATGATTGTATTTAACTGAGAGAGCTGAACATTCCTTTAGATGGAGCAGTTTCCAAACAAACTTTTTGTGGGATCTGCAGGTGGATATTCGGACCTCTGTGAGGATTGCGTTGGAAAAGGGATAAACTTCCCAGAACTACACGGAAGCATTCTCCGAAACTTCTTTGTGATGTTTGCATACAACTCACAGAGTTGAACCTTCCTTTGATAGTTCAGCTTTGAGACACTCTTTTGGTAGAATCTGCAGGTGGATATTTGGACCACTGTGAGGCCTTCGTTCGAAACGGGGACACCTTCACGTAAAAACTCAAGAGGAGCATTCTCAGAAACTTCTGTGTGGTGATTGCATTCAGGTCACAGAGTTGAACCCTCCATTTGATTGAGCAGTTTGGAAACTCTCTTTTTGTAGAATCTGTAAGAGGATATGCGGACTTCTTTGAAGATTTCTTTGGAAACGGGAATATCTTCACAGAAAAACTAAACTGAAGCATTCTCGCAAACTTCTTTGTGATGTTTGTGTTCGGGTCACACAGTTTAACCTCGCTTTTCACAGAGCGGTTTTGAGACACTCCTTTTGTAGAATCTGCAAGTGGACATGTGGAGCGCTTCCAGGCCTGTGGTGGAAAAGGAAACATCTTCACATAAGAACTAGAGAGAAGCATTGTCAGAAACGTCTTTGTGATGATTGCATTCAACTCACAGAGTTGAAGATCCCGTTTGAAACAGCAGTTTCGAGACACTCTTTCTGTGGGATCGGCCAGTGGATATTTGGACCTCTTCGAAGATTTCGTTGGAAATGGGATAAACTTCACATAAAAGCTAAACCGAAGCATTCTCAGAAACTTCTTTGTGATGTTTGCATTCACCTCACAGAGTCGAACTTTCCCTCTGATACAGCACCTTTGAAATGCTCGTTTGCTAGAATCTGCAGGTGGGCATTTGGAGGGCTTTGTGGACTGTGGTGGAAAAGGGAATATCTTCTCATAAAAACTACATAGAAGCACTCTCAGAAACGACTGTGTGATGATAGCATTCAACTCACAGAGTTGGACATTCATTCCTTTTGAGAGAGCAGTTTGGAAACACTCTTTCTGTCGAATCTGCAAGTGGACATTTGGACCGCTTTGAGGCCTATGGTAGTAAAGGGAAGAACTTCATATAAGAACTAGACAGTAGCATTCTCAGAAAATTCTTTGTGACGATGGAGTTTAACTCAGAGAGCTGAACATTCGTTTTGATGGAGCAATTTCCAAACACACTTTTGGTAGAATCTGCAAGTGTAAATTTGGACTTCCCTAAGGATTTCGTTGGAAAGGGGATAAACTTCCCAGAAGTAATCGGAAGCATTCTCCGAAACTTCTTTGTGATGTTTGCATTCAACTCACAGGGTTGAACATTCCTTTCATAGTTCAGCTTTCAAACACTCTTTCTCTAGAATCTGCAAGTGGATATTTGCACCACTTTGTGGCCTTCCTTCGAAACGGGTATATCTTCACATCAAAACTAGACAGAAGCATTCTCAGAATGTTTCCTGTGAGGACTGCATTCAACTCACAGAGTTGAACAATCCTGTTGACGGAGCAGTTTTGAAACTCCCTTTCTTTGGAATCTGCAAGTGGATATGTGGACCTCTTTGAAGATTTCGTTGGAAACGGGTTCATCTTCACATAAAAACTAAACAGAAGCATTCTCAGAAACTACTTTGTGATATTTGTGTTCAACTTCCGGAATTGAACTTTCCTCTGGAAAGAGCAGCTATGAAACGCTCTTTTTCTAGAATGTGCAAGTGGACATTTGGAGGGCTTTGAGGCCTGCGGTGGAAAGGGAAATATCTTCACATGAAAACTAGATAGAAGCATTCTCAGAAACCACTTTGTGATGATTGCATCGGACTCACAGAGTTGGATATTCCTATGGATAGAACAGTTTGTAAACACTCTTTTTGTAGAATCTGCAATTGGAGATTTGGACGGCTTTGAGGCCTACGGAAGTAAAGGAAATAACTTCACATAAAAACCAAACGGAAGCATTCACAGAAAATTCTTTGCGATGATTGTATTTAACTGAGAGAGCTGAGCATTCCTTTAGATGGAGCAGTTTCCAAACACACTTTTTGTAGGATCTGCAGGTGGATATTCGGTCCTCTCTGAGGATTGCATTGGAAACGGGATAAACTTCCCAGAACTACACGGAAGCATTCTCCGAAACTTCTTTGTGATGTTTGCATACAACTCACAGAGTTGAACCTTCCTTTCATAGTTCAGCTTTGAGACACTCTTTTGGTAGAATCTGCAGGTGGATATTTGGACCACTGTGAGGCCTTCGTTCGAAACGGGTACACCTTCACGTAAAAACTCAAGAGGAGCATTCTCAGAAACTTCTGTGTGATGATTGCATTCAAGTCACAGAGTTGAACCCTCCATTTGATTGAGCAGTTTGGAAACTCTCTTTTTGTGGAATCTGTAAGAGGATATGTGGACTTCTTTGAAGATTTCCTTGGAAACGGGAATATCTTCACAGAAAAACTAAACTGAAGCATTCTCACAAACTTCTTTGTGATGTTTGTGTTCGAGTCACACAGTTTAACCTCGCTTTTCAGAGTGGTTTTGAGACACTCCTTTTGTAGAATCTGCAAGTGGACATGTGGAGCGCTTCCAGGCCTGTGGTGGAAAAGGAAACATCTTCACATAAGAACTAGAGAGAAGTATTTTCAGAAACGTCTTTGTGATGATTGCATTCAACTCACAGAGTTGAAGATTCCGTTTGAAACAGCAGTTTCGAAACACTCTTTCTGTGGGATTGGCCAGTGGATATTTGGACCTCTTCGAAGATTTCGTTGGAAATGGGATAAACTTCACATAAAAGCTAAACCGAAGCATTCTCAGAAACTTCTTTGTGATGTTTGCATTCACCTCACAGAGTCGAACTTTCCCTCTGATACAGCACCTTTGAAACGCTCGTTTGCTAGAATCTGCAGGTGGACATTGGGAGGGCTTTGTGGACTGTGGTGGAAAAGGGAATATCTTCTCATAAAAACTACATAGAAGCCCTCTCAGAAACGACTCTGTGATGATAGCATTCAACTCACAGATTTGGACATTCATTCGTTTTGAGAGAGCAGTTTGGAAACACTCTTTCTGTCGAATCTGCAAGTGGAGATTTGGACCGCTTTGAGGCCTATGGTAGTAAAGGGAAGAACTTCATATAAGAACTAGACAGTAGCACTCTCAGAAAATTCTTTGTGACGATGGAGTTTAACTCAGAGAGCTGAACATTCGTTTTGATGGAGCAGTTTCCAAACACACTTTTGGTAGAATCTGCAAGTGTAAATTTGGACTTCTCTAAGGATTTCGTTGGAAAGGGGATAAAATTCCCAGAAGTAATCGGAGGCATTCTCCGAAACTTCTTTGTGATGTTTGCATTCAACTCACAGGGTTGAACCTTCCTTTCATAGTTCAGCGTTCAAACACTCTTTCTGTAGAATCTGCAAGTGGATATTTGCACCACTTAGTGGCCTTCCTTCGAAACGGGTACATCTTCACATCAAACCTAGACAGAAGCATTCTCAGAATGTTTCCTGTGAGGACTGCATTCAACTCACAGAGTTGAACAATCCTGTTGATGGAGCAGTTTTGAAACTCCCTTTCTTTGGAATCTGCAAGTGGATTTGTGGACCTCTTTGAAGATTTCGTTGGAAACGGGTTCATCTTCACATAAAAACTAAACAGAAGCATTCTCAGAAACTACTTTGTGATGTTTGTGTTCAACTTCCGGAATTGAACTTTCCTCTGGAAAGAGCAGCTATGAAACGCTCTTTTTCTAGAATGTGCAAGTGGACATTTGGAGGGCTTTGAGGCCTGCGGTGGAAAGGGAAATACCTTCACATGAAAACTAGATAGAAGCATTCTCAGAAACCACTTTTTGATGATTGCATCGGACTCACAGAGTTGGACATTCCTATGGATAGAACAGTTTGTAAACACTCTTTTTGTAGAATCTGCAATTGGAGATTTGGACGGCTTTGAGGCCTACGGAAGTAAAGGAAATAACTTCACATAAAAACCAAATGGAAGCATTCACAGAAAATTCTTTGCGATGATTGTATTTAACTGAGAGAGCTGAACATTCCTTTAGATGGAGCAGTTTCCAAAAACACTTTTTGTAGGATCTGCAGGTGGATATTCGGACCTCTCTGAGGATTGCATTGGAAACGGGATAAACTTCCCAGAACTACACGGAAGCATTCTCCGAAACTTCTTTGTGATGTTTGCATACAACTCACAGAGTTGAACCTTCCTTTCATAGTTCAGCTTTGAGACACTCTTTTGGTAGAATCTGCAGGTGGATATTTGGACCACTGTGAGGCCTTCGTTCGAAACGGGTACACCTTCACGTTAAAACTCAAGAGGAGCATTCTCAGAAACTTCTGTGTGGTGATTGCATTCAGGTCACAGAGTTGAACCCTCCATTTGATTGAGCAGTTTGGAAACTCTCTTTTTGTAGAATCTGTAAGAGGATATGCGGACTTCTTTGAAGATTTCTTTGGAAACGGGAATATCTTCACAGAAAAACTAAACTGAAGCATTCTCGCAAACTCCTTTGTGATGTTTGTGTTCGGGTCACCCAGTTTAACCTCGCTTTTCACAGAGCGGTTTTGAGACACTCCTTTCGTAGAATCTGCAAGTGGACATGTGGAGCGCTTCCAGGCCTGTGGTGGAAAAGGAAACATCTTCACATAAGAACTAGAGAGAAGCATTGTCAGAAACTTCTTTGTGATGATTGCATTCAACTCGCAGAGTTGAAGATTCCGTTTGAAACTGCAGTTTCGAAACACTCTTTCTGTGGGATCGGCCAGTGGATATTTGGACCTCTTTGAAGATTTCGTTGGAAATGGCATAAACTTCACATAAAAGCTAAACCGAAGCATTCTCAGAAACTTCTTTGTGATGTTTGCATTCACCTCACAGAGTCGAACTTTCCCTCTGATACAGCACCTTTGAAACGCTCGTTTTCTAGAATCTGCAGGTGGACATTTGGAGGGCTTTGTGGACTGTGGTGGAAAAGGAAATATCTTCTCATAAAAACGACATAGAAGCACTCTCAGAAACGACTCTGTGATGATAGCATTCAACTCACAGAGTTGGACATTCATTCCTTTTGAGAGAGCAGTTTGGAAACACTCTTTCTGTTAAATCTACAAGTGGAGATTTGGACCGCTGTGAGGCCTATGGTAGTAAAGGGAAGAACTTCATATAAGAACTAGACAGTAGCACTCTCAGAAAATTCTTTGTGACGATGGAGTTTAACTCAGAGAGCTGAACATTCGTTTTGATGGAGCAGTTTCCAAACACACTTTTGGTAGAATCTGGAAGTGTAAATTTGGACTTCTCTAAGGATTTCGTTGGAAAGGGGATAAACTTCCCAGAAGTAATCGGAAGCATTCTCCAAAATTTCTTTGTGATGTTTGCATTCAACTCACAGGGTTGAACATTCCTTTCATAGTTCAGCTTTCAAACACTCTTTCTGTAGAATCTACAAGTGGATATTTGCACCACTTTGTGGCCTTCCTTCGAAACGGGTATATCTTCACATCAAACCTAGACAGAAGCATTCTCAGAATGTTTCCTGTGAGGACTGCATTCAACTCACAGAGTTGAACAATCCTGTTGATGGAGCAGTTTTGAAACTCCCATTCTTTGGAATCTGCAAGTGGATATGTGGACCTCTTTGAAGATTTCGTTGGAAACGGGTTCATCTTCACAAAAAAACTAAACAGAAGCATTCTCAGAAACTATTTTGTGATGTTTGTGTTCAACTTCCGGAATTGAACTTTCCTCTGGAAAGAGCAGCTATGAAACGCTCTTTTTCTAGAATGTGCAAGTGGACATTTGGAGGGCTTTGAGGCCTGCGGTGGAAAGGGAAATATCTTCACATGAAAACTAGATAGAAGCATTCTCAGAAACCACTTTTTGATGATTGCATCGGACTCACAGAGTTGGACATTCCTATGGGTAGAACAGTTTGTAAACACTCTTTTTGTAGAATCTGCAATTGGAGATTTGGACGGCTTTGAGGCCTACGGAAGTAAAGGAAATAACTTCACATAAAAACCAAACGGAAGCATTCACAGAAAATTCTTTGCGATGATTGTATTTAACTGAGAGAGCTGAACATTCCTTTAGATGGAGCAGTTTCCAAACTCACTTTTTGTAGGATCTGCAGGTGGATATTCGGACCTCTCTGAGGATTGCATTGGAAACGGGATAAACTTCCCAGAACTACACGGAAGCATTCTCCGAAACTTCTTTGTGATGTTTGCATACAACTCACAGAGTTGAACCTTCCTTTCATAGTTCAGCTTTGAGACACTCTTTTGGTAGAATCTGCAGGTGGATATTTGGACCACTGTGAGGCCTTCGTTCGAAACGGGTACACCTTCACGTAAAAACTCAAGAGGAGCATTCTCAGAAACTTCTATGTGATGATTGCATTCAGGTCACAGAGTTGAACCCTCCATTTGATTGAGCAGTTTGGAAACTCTCTTTTTGTATAATCTGTAAAAGGATATGCGGACTTCTTTGAAGACTTCTTTGGAAACGGGAATATCTTCACAGAAAAACTAAACTGAAGCATTCTCGCAAACTTCTTTGTGATGTTTGTGTTCGGGTCACACAGTTTAACCTCGCTTTTCACAGAGCGGTTTTGAGACACTCCTTTCGTAGAATCTGCAAGTGGACATGTGGAGCGCTTCCAGGCCTGTGGTGGAAAAGGAAACATCTTCACATAAGAACTAGAGAGAAGCATTGTCAGAAATGTCTTTGTGATGATTGCATTCAACTCACAGAGTTGAAGATCCCGTTTGAAACAGCAGTTTCGAAACACTCTTTCTGTGTGATCGGCCAGTGGATATTTGGACCTCTTCGAAGATTTCGTTGGAAATGGCATAAACTTCACATAAAAGCTAAACCGAAGCATTCTCAGAAACTTCTTTGTGATGTTTACATTCACCTCACAGAGTCGAACTTTCCCTCTGATACAGCACCTTTGAAACGCTCGTTTTCTAGAATCTGCAGGTGGACATTGGGAGGGCTTTGTGGACTGTGGTGGAAAAGGGAATATCTTCTCATAAAAACTACATAGAAGCACTCTCAGAAACGACTCTGAGATGATAGCACTCAACTGACACAGTTGGACATTCATTCCTTTTGAGAGAGCAGTTTGGAAACACTCTTTCTGTCGAATCTGCAAGTGGAGATTTGGACCGCTTTGAGGCCTATGGTAGTAAAGGGAAGAACTTCATATAAGAACTAGACAGTAGCACTCTCAGAAAATTCTTTGTGACGATGGAGTTTAACTCAGAGAGCTGAACATTCGTTTTGATGGTGCAGATTCCAAACACACTTTTGGTAGAATCTGCAAGTGGAAATTTGGACTTCTCTGAGGATTTCGTTGGAAAGGGGATAAACTTCCCAGAAGTAATCGGAAGCATTCTCAAAAACTTCTTTGTGATATTTGCATTCAACTCACAGAGATGAAACTTCCTTTGATAGTTCAGGTTTGAAACACTCTATTTGTAGAAACTGCAAGTGGATATTTGGACCATTTTGTGGCCTTCGTTGGAAATGGGTATATCTTCACATAAAAACTAGACAGAAGCATTCTCAGAAGGTTTCCTGTGATGACTGCATTCAACTCACAGAGTTGAACAATCCTGTTGACGGAGCAGTTTTGAAACTCCCTTTCTTTGGGATCTGCAAGTGGATATGTGGACCTCTTTGAAGATTTCGTTGGAAACGGGTTCATCTTCACATAACAACTAAACAGGAGCATTCTCAGAAACTGCTTTGTGATGTTTGTGTTCCACTTCAAGAATTGAACTTTCCTCTTGACAGAGCAGCTCTGAAACCCTCTTTTTCTAGAATCTGCAAGTGGACATTTGGAGGTCTTTGAGGCCTGTGGTGGAAAAGGAAAATCTTCGCATAAAAACTAGATGGAAGCATTCTCAGAAACTTCTTTGTGATGTTTGCATTCACCTCACAGAGTCGAACTTTCCCTCTGATACAGCACCTTTGAAACGCTCGTTTTC
The DNA here is from genome assembly GCF_000001405.40 of Homo sapiens. Classification (NCBI taxonomy): domain Eukaryota; kingdom Metazoa; phylum Chordata; class Mammalia; order Primates; family Hominidae; genus Homo; species Homo sapiens. Next base: position 54,369,713 of record NC_000011.10, read on the forward strand.
TAGAATCTGCAGGTGGACATTGGGAGGGCTTTGTGGACTGTGGTGGAAAAGGGAATATCTTCTCATAAAAACTACATAGAAGCACTCTCAGAAACGACTCTGTGATGATAGCATTCAACTCACAGAGTTGGACATTCATTCCTTTTGAGAGAGCAGTTTGGAAACACTCTTTCTGTCGAATCTGCAAGTGGAGATTTGGACCGCTTTGAGGCCTATGGTAGTAAAGGGAAGAACTTCATATAAGAACTAGACAGTAGCACTCTCAGAAAATTCTTGGTGACGATGGAGTTTAACTCAGAGAGCTGAACATTCGTTTTGATGGAGCAGTCTCCAAACACACTTTTTGTAGAATCTGCAAGTGGAAATTTGGACTTCTCCGAGGATTTCGTTGGAAAGGGGATAAACTTCCCAGAAGTAATCGGAGGCATTCTCCGAAACTTCTTTGTGATGTTTGTATTCAACTCACAGGGATGAACCTTCCTTTCATAGTTCAGCTTTCAAACACTCTTTCTGTAGAATCTGCAAGTGGATATTTGCACCACTTTGTGGCCTTCCTTCGAAACGGGTATATCTTCACATCAAACCTAGACAGAAGCATTCTCAGAATGTTTCCTGTGAGGACTGCATTCAACTCACAGAGTTGAACAATCCTGTTGATGGAGCAGTTTCGAAACTCCCTTTCTTTGGAATCTGCAAGTGGATATGTGGACCTCTTTGAAGATTTCGTTGGAAACGGGATAAACTTCACATAAAAGCTAAACCGAAGCATTCTCAGAAACTACTTTGTGATGTTTGTGTTCAACTTCCGGAATTGAACTTTCCTCTGGAAAGAGCAGCTACGAAACGCTCTTTTTCTAGAATGTGCAAGTGGACATTTGGAGGGCTTTGAGGCCTGCGGTGGAAACGGAAATATCTTCACATGAAAACTAGATAGAAGCATTCTCAGATACCACTTTGTGATGATTGCATCGGACTCACAGAGTTGGACATTCCTATGGATAGAACAGTTTGTAAACACTCTTTTTGTAGAATCTGCAATTGGAGATTTGGACGGCTTTGAGGCCTATGGAAGTAAAGGAAATAACTTCACATAAAAAGCAAACGGAAGCATTCACAGAAAATTCTTTGCGATGATTGTATTTAACTGAGAGAGCTGAACATTCCTTTAGATGGAGCAGTTTCCAAACACACTTTTTGTAGGATCTGCAGGTGGATATTCGGACCTCTCTGAGGATTGCATTGGAAACGGGATAAACTTCCCAGAACTACACGGAAGCATTCTCCGAAACTTCTTTGTGATGTTTGCATACAACTCACAGAGTTGAACCTTCCTTTCATAGTTCAGCTTTGAGACAGTCTTTTGGTATAATCTGCAGGTGGATATTAGGACCACTGTGAGGCCTTCGTTCGAAAAGGGTATACCTTCACTGTAAAAACTCAAGAGAAGCATTCTCAGAAACTTCTGTGTCATGATTGCATTCAGGTCACAGAGTTGAACCCTCCATTTGATTGAGCAGTTTGGAAACTCTCTTTTTGTAGAATCTGTAAGAGGATATGCGGAATTCTTTGAAGATTTCTTTGGAAACGGGAATATCTTCACAGAAAAACTAAACTGAAGCATTCTCACAAACTTCTTTGTGATGTTTGTGTTCGAGTCACACAGCTTAACCTCGCTTTTCACAGAGCGGTTTTGAGACACTCCTTTCGTAGAATCTGCAAGTGGACATGTGGAGCGCTTCCAGGCTTGTGGTGGAAAAGGAAACATCTTCACATAAGAACTAGAGAGAAGCATTGTCAGAAACTTCTTTGTGATGATTGCATTGAACTCACAGAGTTGAAGATTCCGTTTGAAACAGCAGGTTCGAAACAGTCTTTCTGTGGGACCGGCCAGTGGATACTTGGACCTCTTTGAAGATTTCGTTGGAAATGAGATAAACTTCACATAAAAGCTAAACCAAAGCATTCTCAGAAACTTCTTTGTGATGTTTGCATTCACCTCACAGAGTTGAAGATTCCCTCTGATACAGCACCTTTGAAACGCTCGTTTTCTAGAATCTGCAGGTGGACATTTGGAGGGCTTTGGGGATGGTGGTGGAAAAGGAAATATCTTCTCGTAAAAACTACACAGAAGCACTCTCAGAAACGACTCTGTGATGATAGCATTCAACTCACAGAGTTGAACATTCCTTTTGAGAGAGCAGTTTGGAAACACTCTTTCTGCAGAATCTGCAAGTGGAGATTTGGACCGCTTTGAGGCCTATGGTAGTAAAGGAAAGAACTTCATATAAGAACTAGACAGGAGCACTCTCAGAAAATTCTTTGTGACGATGGAGTTTAACTCAGAGAGCTGAACATTCGTTTTGATGGAGCAGTTTCCAAACACACTTTTGGTAGAATTTGCAAGTGTAAATTTGGACTTCTCTAAGGATTTCGTTTTAAAGGGGATAAACTTCCCAGAAGTAATCGGAAGCATTCTCCGAAACTTCTTTGTGATGATTGCATTCAACTCACAGGGTTGAACCTTCCTTTCATAGTTCAGCTTTCAAACACTCTTTCTGTAGAATCTGCAAGTGGATATTTGCACCACTTTGTGGCCTTCCTTCGAAACGGGTATATCTTCACATCAAACCTAGACAGAAGCATTCTCAGAATGTTTCCTGTGAGGACTGCATTCAACTCACAGAGTTGAACAATCCTGTTGACGGAGCAGTTTTGAAACTCCCTTTCTTTGGAATCTGCATGTGGATATGTGGACCTCTTTGAAGATTTCGTTGGAAACGGGTTCATCTTCACATAAAATCTAAACAGAAGCATTCTCAGAAACCACTTTGTGATGTTTGTGATCAACTTCCGGAATTGAACTTTCCTCTGGAAAGAGCAGCTATGAAACGCTCTTTTTCTAGAATGTGCAAGTGGACATTTGGAGGGCTTTGAGGCCTGCGGTGGAAAGGGAAATATCTTCACATGAAAACTAGATAGAAGCATTCTCAGAAACTACTTTGTGATGATTGCATCGGACTCACAGAGTTGGGCACTCCTATGGATAGGACAGTTTGTAAACACTCTTTTTGTAGAATCTGCAATTGGAGATTTGGACTGCTTTGAGACCTACGGTAGTAAAGGAAATAACTTCATATAAACACCAAACGGAAGCATTCACAGAAAATTCTTTGCGATGATTGTATTTAACTGAGAGAGCTGAACATTCCTTTAGATGGAGCAGTTTCCAAACACACTTTTTGTAGGATCTGCAGGTGGATATTCGGACCTCTCTGAGGATTGCATTGGAAACGGGATAAACTTCCCAGAACTACACGGAAGCATTCTCCGAAACTTCTTTGTGATGTTTGCATACAACTCACAGAGTTGAACCTTCCTTTCATATTTCAGCTTTGAGACAGTCTTTTGGTAGAATCTGCAGGTGGATATTTGGACCACTGTGAGGCCTTCTTTCGAAACTGGTATACCTTCATGTAAAAACTCAAGAGAAGCATTCTCAGAAACTTCTGTGTGATGATTGCATTCAGGTCACAGAGTTGAACCCTCCATTTGATTGAGCAGTTTGGAAACTCTCTTTTTGTAGAATCTGTAAGAGGATATGCGGACTTCTTTGAAGATTTCTTTGGAAAGGGGAATATCTTCACAGAAAAACTAAACTGAAGCATTCTCACAAACTTCTTTGTGATGTTTGTGTTCGAGTCACACAGTTTAACCTCGCTTTTCACAGAGCGGTTTTGAGACACTCCTTTCGTAGAATCTGCAAGTGGACATGTGGAGGGCTCCCAGGCCTGTGGTGGAAAAGGAAACATCTTCACATAAGAAGTAGAGAGAAGCATTGTCAGAAACTTCTCTGTGATGATTGTATTCAACTCACAGAGTTAAAGATTCCGTTTGAAACAGCAGTTTCGAAACACTCTTTCTGTGGGATCGGCCCGTGGATATTTGGACCTCTTTATAGATTTAGTTGGAAATGGGATAAACTTCACATAAAAGCTAAACCGAAGCATTCTCAGAAACTTCTTTGTGATGTTTGCATTCACCTCACAGAGTCGAACTTTCCCTCTGATACAGCACCTTTGAAACGCTCGTTTGCTAGAATCTGCAGGTGGACATTGGGAGGGCTTTGTGGACTGTGGTGGAAAAGGGAATATCTTCTCATAAAAACTACATAGAAGCACTCTCAGAAACGACTCTGTGATGATAGCATTCAACTCACAGAGTTGGACATTCATTCCTTTTGAGAGAGCAGTTTGGAAACACTCTTTCTGTCGAATCTGCAAGTGGAGATTTGGACCGCTTTGAGGCCTATGGTAGTAAAGGGAAGAACTTCATATAAGAACTAGACAGTAGCACTCTCAGAAAATTCTTTGTGACGATTGAGTTTATCTCAGAGAGCTGAACATTCGTTTTGATGGAGCAGTTTCCAACCACACTTTTTGTAGAATCTGCAAGTGGAAATTTGGACTTCTCTGAGGATTTCGTTGGAAACGCGATAAAATTCCGAGAACTACACGGAGGCATTCTCCGAAACTTCTTTGTGATGTTTGCATTCAACTCACAGGGTTGAACCTTCCTTTCATAGTTCAGCTTTCAAACACTCTTTCTGAAGAATCTGCAAGTGGATATTTGCACCACTTTGTGGCCTTCCTTCGAAACGGGTATATCTTCACATCAAACCTAGACAGAAGCATTCTCAGAATGTTTCCTGTGAGGACTGCATTCAACTCACAGAGTTGAACAATCCTGTTGATGGAGCAGTTTCGAAACTCCCTTTCTTTGGAATCTGCAAGTGGATATGTGGACCTCTTTGAAGTTTTCGTTGGAAACGGGTTCATCTTCACATAAAAACTAAACAGAAGCATTCTCAGAAACTACTTTGTGATGTTTGTGTTCAACTTCCGGAATTGAACTTTCCTCTGGAAAGAGCAGCTACAAAACGCTCTTTTTCTAGAATGTGCAAGTGGACATTTGGAGGGCTTTGAGGCCTGTGGTTGAAAGGGAAATATCTTCACATGAAAACTAGATAGAAGCATTCTCAGAAACCACTTTGTGATGACTGCATCGGCCTCACCGAGTTGGACATTCCTATGGATAGAACAGTTTGTAAACACTCTTTTTGTAGAATCTGCAATTGGAGATTTGGACGGCTTTGAGACCTACGGAAGTAAAGGAAATAACTTCACATAAAAACCAAACGGAAGCATTCACAGAAAATTCTTTGCGATGATTGTATTTAACTGAGAGAGCTGAACATTCCTTTAGATGGAGCAGTTTCCAAACACGCTTTTTGTAGGATCTGCAGGTGGTGATTCGGACCTCTCTGAGGATTGCGTTGGAAACGGGATAAACTTCCCAGAACTACACGGAAGCATTCTCCGAAACTTCTTTCTGATGTTTGCATACAACTCACAGAGTTCAACCTTCCTTTCATAGTTCAGCTTTGAGACAGTCTTTTGGTAGAATCTGCAGGTGGATATTTGGACCACTGTGAGGCCTTCGTTCGAAACGGGTACACCTTCACGTAAAAACTCAAGAGGAGCATTCTCAGAAACTTCTGTGTGATGATTGCATTCAGGTCACAGAGTTGAACCCTCCATTTGATTGAGCAGTATGGAAACTCTCTTTTTGTAGAAACTGTAAGAGGATATGCGGACTTCTATGAAGATTTCTTTGGAAACGGGAATATCTTCACAGAAAAACTATACTGAAGCATTCTCACAAACTTCTTTGTGATGTTTGTGTTCGAGTCACACAGTTTAACCTCGCTTTTCACAGAGCGGTTTTGAGACACTCCTTTCGTAGAATCTGCAAGTGGACATGTGGAGCGCTTCCAGGCCTGTGGTGGAAAAGGAAACATCTTCACATAAGAACTAGAGAGAAGCATTGTCAGAAACTTCTTTGTGATGATTGCATTCAACTCACAGAGTTGAAGATTCCGTTTGAAACAGCAGTTTCGAAACAGACTTTCTGTGGGATCGGCCCGTGGATATTTGGGCCTCTTCGAAGATTTCGTTGGAAATGGGATAAACTTCACATAAAAGCTAAACCGAAGCATTCTCAGAAACTTCTTTGTGATGTTTGCATTCACCTCACAGAAGTCGAACATTCCCTCTGATACAGCACCTTTGAAACGCTCGTTTTCTAGAATCTGCAGGTGGACATTTGGAGGGCTTTGTGGACTGTGGTGGAAAAGGAAATATCTTCTCATAAAAACGACATAGAAGCACTCTCAGAAACGACTCTGTGATGATAGCATTCAACTCCCAGAGTTGGACATTCATTCCTTTTGAGAGAGCAGTTTGGAAACACTCTTTCTGTCGAATCTGCAAATGGAGATTTGGACCGCTTTGAGGCCTATGGTAGTAAAGGGAAGAACTTCATATAAGAACTAGACAGTAGCACTCTCAGAAAACTCTTTGTGACGATTGAGTTTAACTCAGAGAGCTGAACATTCGTTTTGATGGAGCAGTTTCCAAACACACTTTTTGTAGAATCTGCAAGTGGAAATTTGGACTTCTCTGAGGATTTCGTTGGAAACGGGATAAACTTCCCAGAAGTAATCGGAAGCATTCTCCGAAACTTCTTTGTGATGTTTGCATTCAACTCACAGGCTGAACCTTCCTTTCATAGTTCAGCTTTCAAACACTCTTTCTGTAGAATCTGCAAGTGGATATTTGCACCACTTTGTGGCCTTCCTTCGAAACGGGTATATCTTCACATCAAACCTAGACAGAAGCATTCTCAGAATGTTTCCTGTGATGACTGCATTCAACGCACAGAGGTGAACAATCCTGTTGATGGAGCAGTTTTGAATCTCTCTTTCTCTGGAATCTGAAAGTGGATATGTGGACCTCTTTGAAGATTTCGTTGGAAAAGGGTTCATCTTCAAAGAAAAACTAAACAGAAGCATTCTCAGAAACTACTTTGTGATGTTTGTGTTCAACTTCCGGAATTGAACTTTCCTCTGGAAAGAGCAGCTACGAAACGCTCTTTTTCTAGAATGTGCAAGTGGACATTTGTAGGGCTTTGAGGCCTGTGGTGGAAAGGGAAATATCTTCACATGAAAACTAGATAGAAGCATTCTCAGAAACCACTTTGTGATGATTGCATCGGACTCACAGAGTTGGGCATTCCTATGGATAGAACAGTTTGTAAACACTCTTTTTTTAGAATCTGCAATTGGAGATTTGGACGGCTTTGAGGCCTACGGAAGTAAAGGAAATAACTTCACATAAAAACCAAACGGAAGCAATCACAGAAAATTCTTTGCGATGATTGTGTTTAACTGAGAGAGCTGAACATTCCTTTACATAGATCAGTTTCCAAACACACTTTTTGTAGGATCTGCAAGTGGATATTCGGACCTCTCTGAGGATTGCGTTGGAAACGGGATAAACTTCCCAGAAATACACGGAAGCATTCTCCGAAACTTCTTTGTGATGTTTGCATACAACTCACAGAGTTGAACCTTCTTTTCATAGTTCAGCTTTGAGACACTCTTTTGGTAGAATCTGCAGGTGGATATTTGGTCCACTGTGAGGCCTTCGTTCGAAACGGGTACACCTTCACGTAAAAACTCAAGAGAAGCATTCTCAGAAACTTCTGTGTGATGATTGCATTCAGGTCACAGAGTTGAACCCTCCATTTGATTGAGCAGTTTGGAAACTCTCTTTTTGTAGAATCTGTAAGAGGATATGCGGAGTTCTTTGAAGATTTCTTTGGAAACGGGAATATCTTCACAGAAAAACTAAACTGAAGCATTCTCACAAACTTCTTTGTGATGTTTGTGTTCGAGTCACACAGTTTAACCTCGCTTTTCACAGAGCGGTTTTGAGACACTCCTTTCGTAGAATCTGCAAGTGGACATGTGGAGCGCTTCCAGGCCTGTGGTGGAAAAGGAAACATCTTCACATAAGAACTAGAGAGAAGCATTGTCAGAAACTTCTTTGTGAAGACTGCATTAAACTCACAGAGTTGAAGATTCCTTTTGAAACAGCAGTTTCGAAACACCCTTTCTGTGGGATCCGCAAGTGGATATTTGGACCTCTTTGAAGATTTCGTTGGAAATGGGGTAAACTTCACATAAAAGCTAAACCGAAGCATTCTCAGAAACTTCTTTGTGATGTTTGCATTCACCTCACAGAGTCGAACTTTCCCTCTGATACAGCACTTTGAAATGCTCGTTTTCTAGAATCTGCAAGTGGACATTTGGAGGGCTTTGTGGACTGTGGTGGAAAAGGGAATATCTTCTCATAAAAACTACATAGAAGCACTCTCAGCAAACGACTCTGTGATGATAGCATTCAACTCACAGTAGTTGGACATTCATTCCTTTTGAGAGAGCAGTTTGGAAACACTCTTTCTGTTGAATCTACAAGTGGAGATTTGGACCGCTGTGAGGCCTATGGTAGTAAGGGGAAGAACTTCATATAAGAACTAGACAGTAGCACTCTCAGAAAATTCTTTGTGACGATGGAGTTTAACTCAGAGAGCTGAACATTCATTTTGATGGAGCAGTTTCCAAACACACTTTTGGTAGAATCTGCAAGTGGAAATTTGGACTTCTCTGAGGATTTCGTTGGAAAGGGGATAAACTTCCCAGAAGTAATCGGAAGCATTCTCCGAAACTTCTTTGTGATGTTTGCATTCAACTCACAGGCTAAACCTTCGTTTCATATTTCAGCTTTCAAACACTCTTTCTGTAGAATCTGTAAGTGGATATTTGCACCACTTTGTGGTCTTCCTTCGAAACGGGTATATCTTCACATCAAACCTAGACAGAAGCATTCTCAGAATGTTTCCTGTGAGGACTGCATTCAACTCACAGAGTTGAACACTCCTGTTGACGGAGAAGTTTTGAAACTCCCTTTCTTTGGAATCTGCAAGTGGATATGTGGACCTCTTTGAAGATTTCGTTGGAAACGGGTTCATCTTCACATAAAAACTAAACAGAAGCATTCTCAGAAACTACTTTGTGATGTTTGTGTTCAACTTCCGGAATTGAACTTTCCTCTGGAAAGAGCAGCTATGAAACGCTCTTTTTTTAGAATGAGCAAGTGGACATTTGGAGGGCTTTGAGGCCTGCGGTGGAAAGGGAAATATCTTCACATGAAAACTAGATAGAAGCATTCTCAGAAACCACTTTGTGATGATTGCATCGGACTCACAGAGTTGGACATTCCTATGGATAGAACAGTTTGTAAACACTCTTTTTGTAGAATCTGTAATTGGAGATTTGGACGGCTTTGAGACCTACGGAAGTAAAGGAAATAACTTCACATAAAAACCAAACTGAAGCATTCACAGAAAATTCTTTGCGATGATTGTATTTAACTGAGAGAGCTGAACATTCCTTTAGATGGAGCAGTTTCCAAACACACTTTTTGTAGGATCTGCAGGTGGATATTCGGACCTCTCTGAGGATTGCGTTGGAAACGGGATAAACTTCCCAGAACTACAAGGAAGCATTCTCCGAAACTTCTTTGTGATGTTTGCATACCACTCACAGAGTTGAACCTTCCTTTCATAGTTCAGCTTTGAGACAGTCTTTTGGTAGAATCTGCAGGTGGATATTTGGACCACTGTGAGGCCTTCGTTCGAAGCGGTTATACCTTCACGTAAAAACTGAAGAGAAGCATTCTCAGAAACTTCTGTGTGACGATTGCATTCAGGTCACAGAGTTGAACCCTCCATTTGATTGAGCAGTTTGGAAACTCTCTTTTTGTAGAATCTGTAAGAGGATATGCGGACTTCTTTGAAGATTTCTTTGGAAAGGGGAATATCTTCACAGAAAAACTAAACTGAAGCATTCCCGCAAACTTCTTTGTGATGTTTGTGTTCGGGTCACACAGTTTAACCTCGCTTTTCACAGAGCGGTTTTGAGACACTCCTTTCGTAGAATCTGCAAGTGGACATGTGGAGCGCTTCCAGGCCTGTGGTGGAAAAGGAAACATCTTCACATAAGAACTAGAGAGAAGTATTTTCAGAAACGTCTTTGTGATGATTGCATTCAACTCACAGAGTTGAAGATTCCGTTTGAAACAGCAGTTTCGAAACACTCTTTCTGTGGGATCGGCCAGTGGATATTTGGACCTCTTCGAAGATTTCGTTGGAAATGGGATAAACTTCACATAAAAGCTAAACCGAAGCATTCTCAGAAACTTCTTTGTGATGTTTGCATTCACCTCACAGAGTTGAACATTCCCTCTGATACAGCACCTTTGAAACGCTCGTTTTCTAGAATCTGCAGGTGGACATTTGGAGGGCTTTGGGGATGGTGGTGGAAAAGGAAATATCTTCTCATAAAAACTACACAGAAGCACTCTCAGAAACGACTCTGTGATGATAGCATTTAACTCAGAGATTTGGACATTCATTCTTTTTGAGAGAGCAGTTTGGAAACACTCTTTCTGTCGAATCTGCAAGTGGAGATTTGGACCGCTTTGAGGCCTATGGTAGTAAAGGGAAGAACTTCATATAAGAACTAGACAGTAGCACTCTCAGAAAATTCTTTGTGACGATGGAGTTTAACTCAGAGAGCTGAACATTCGTATTGATGGAGCAGTTTCCAAACACACTTTCTGTAGAATCTGCAAGTGTAAATTTGGACTTCTCTGAGGATTTCGTTGGAAAGGGGATAAACTTCCCAGAAGTAATCGGAAGCATTCTCCGAAACTTCTTTGTGATGTTTGCATTCAACTCACAGGCTGAACCTTCCTTTAATAGTTCAGCTTTCAAACACTCTTTCTGTAGAATCTGCAAGTGGATATTTGCACCACTTTGTGGCCTTCCTTCGAAACGGGTATATCTTCACATCAAACCTAGACAGAAGCATTCTCAGAATGTTTCCTGTGAGGACTGCATTCAACTCACAGAGTTGAACACTCCTGTTGATGGAGCAGTTTTCAAACTCCCTTTTTTTGGAATCTGCAAGTGGATATGTGGACCTCTTTGAAGATTTCGTTGGAAACGGGTTCATCTTCACATAAAAACTAAACAGAAGCATTCTCAGAAACTACTTTGTGATGTTTGTGTTCAACTTGCAGAGTTGAACTTTCCTCTTGACAGAGCAGCCATGAAACATTGCTTTTCTTGAATCTGCAAGTGGACATTTGGAGAGCTTTGAGGCCTGTGGCGGAAACGTAAATATCTGCATATAAAAACTAGATAGAAGCATTCTCAGAAACCACTTTTTTATCATTGCATCGGACTCACAGAGTTGGACATTCCTATGGATAGAACAGTTTGTAAACACTCTTTTTGTAGAATCTGCAATTGGAGATTTGGACGGCTTTGAGGCCTACGGAAGTAAAGGAAATAACTTCACATAAAAACCAAACGGAAGCATTCACAGAAAATTCTTTGTGATGATTGTATTTAACTGAGAGAGCTGAACATTCCTTTAGATGGAGCAGTTTCCAAACACACTTTTTGTAGGATCTGCAGGTGGATATTCGGACCTCTCTGAGGATTGCGTTGGAAACGGGATAAACTTCCGAGAACTACACGGAAGCATTCTCCGAAACTTCTTTGTGATGTTTGCATACAACTCACAGAGTTGAACCTTCCTTTCATAGTTCAGCTTTGAGACAGTCTTGTGGTAGAATCTGCAGGTGGATATTTGGACCACTGTGAGGCCTTCGTTCGAAACGGGTATACCTTCACGTAAAAACTCAAGAGAAAGCATTCTCAGAAACTTCTGTGTGATGATTGCATTCAGGTCACAGAGTTGAACCCTCCATTTGATTGAGCAGTTTGGAAACTCTCTTTTTGTAGAATCTGTAAGAGGATATGCGGACTTCTTTGAAGATTCCTTTGGAAACGGGAATATCTTCACAGAAAAACTAAACTGAAGCATTCTCACAAACTTCTTTGTGATGTCTGTGTTCGAGTCACACAATTTAACCTCGCTTTTCACAGAGCGGTTTTGAGACACTCCTTTCGTAGAATCTGCAAGTGGACATGTGGAGGGCTTCCAGGCCTGTGGTGGAAAAGGAAACATCTTCATATAAGAACTAGAGAGAAGCATTGTCAGAAACGTCTTTGTGATGATTGCATTCAACTCGCAGAGTTGAAGATTCCGTTTGAAACAGCAGTTTCAAAACACTCTTTCTGTGGGATCGGCCAGTGGATATTTGGACCTCTTTGAAGATTTCGTTGGAAATGGCATAAACTTCACATAAAAGCTAAACCGAAGCATTCTCAGAAACTTCTTTGTGATGTTTGCATTCACCTCACAGAGTCGAACATTCCCTCTGATACAGCACCTTTGAAATGCTCGTTTTCTAGAATCTGCAGGTGGACATTTGGAGGGCTTTGTGGACTGTGGTGGAAAAGGAAATATCTTCTCATAAAAACGACATAGAAGCACTCTCAGAAACGACTCTGTGATGATAGCATTCAACTCACAGATTTGGACATTCATTCCTTTTGAGAGAGCAGTTTGGAAACACTCTTTCTGTCGAATCTGCAAGTGGAGATTTGGACCGCTTTGAGGCCTATGGTAGTAAAGGGAAGAACTTCATATAAGAACTAGACAGTAGCACTCTCAGAAAATTCTTTGTGACGATGGAGTTTAACTCAGAGAGCTGAACATTCGTTTTGATGGAGCAGTTTCCAAACACACTTTTGGTAGAATCTGCAAGTGTAAATTTGGACTTCTCTAAGGATTTCGTTGGAAAGGGGATAAACTTCCCAGAAGTAATCGGAAGCATTCTCCGAAACTTCTTTGTGATGTTTGCATTCAACTCACAGGCTGAACCATCCTTCCATAGTTCAGCTTTCAAACACTCTTTCTGTAGAATCTGCAAGTGGATATTTGCACCACTTTGTGGCCTTCTTTCGAAACGGGTATATCTTCACATCAAACCTAGACAGAAGCATTCTCAGAATGTTTCCTGTGAGGACTGCATTCAACTCACAGAGTTGAACACTCCTGTTGATGGAGCAGTTTTGAAACTCCCTTTCTTTGGAATCTGCAAGTGGATATGTGGACCTCTTTGAAGATTTCGTTGGAAACGGGTTCATCTTCACATAAAAACTAAACAGAAGCATTCTCAGAAACTACTTTGTGATGTTTGTGTTCAACTTCCAGAGTTGAACTTTCCTCTTGAAAGAGCAGCTATGAAACACTCTTTTTCTAGAATGTGCAAGTGGACATTTGGAGGGCTTTGAGGCCTGCGGTGGAAAAGGAAATATCTTCACATTAAAACTAGATAGAAGCATTCTCAGAAACCACTTTGTGATGATTGCATCGGACTCACAGATTTGGACATTCCTATGGATAGAACAGTTTGTAAACACTCTTTTTGTAGAATCTGCAATTGGAGATTTGGACGGCTTTGAGGCCTACGGAAGTAAAGGAAATAACTTCACATAAAAACCAAATGGAAGCATTCACAGAAAATTCTTTGCGATGATTGTATTTAACTGAGAGAGCTGAACATTCCTTTAGATGGAGCAGTTTCCAAACACACTTTTTGTAGGATCTGCAGGTGGATATTCGGACCTCTCTGAGGATTGCATTGGAAACGGGATAAACTTCCCAGAACTACACGGAAGCATTCTCCGAAACTTCTTTGTGATGTTTGCATACAACTCACAGAGTTGAACCTTCCTTTCATACTTCAGCTTTGAGACACACTTTTGGTAGAATCTGCAGGTGGATATTTGGACCACTGTGAGGCCTTCGTTCGAAACGGGTACACCTTCACCTAAAAACTCAAGAGGAGCATTCTTAGAAACTTCTGTGTGATGATTGCATTCAAGTCACAGAGTGGAACCCTCCATTTGATTGAGCAGTTTGGAAATTCTCTTTTTGTAGAAACTCTAAGAGGATATGTGGACTTCTTTGAAGATTTCCTTGGAAACGGGAATATCTTCACAGAAAAACTAAACTAAAGAATTCTCACAAACTTCTTTGTGATGTTTGTGTTCGAGTCACACAGTTTAACATTGCTTCTCATAGAGCAGTTTTGAAACACTCCTTTCGTAGAATCTGCAATTGGACATGTGGAGCGCTTCCAGGCCTGTGGTGGAAAAGGAAACATCTTCACATAAAAACTAGACAGAAGCATTGTCAGAAACGTCTTTGTGATGATTGCATTCAACTCACAGAGTTGAAGATCCCGTTTGAAACAGCAGTTTCGAAACACTCTTTCTGTGGGATCGGCCAGTGGATATTTGGACCTCTTCGAAGATTTCGTTGGAAATGAGATAAACTTCACATAAAAGCTAAACCGAAGCATTCTCAGAAACTTCTTTGTGATGTTTGCATTCACCTCACAGAGTCGAACTTTCCCTCTGATACAGCACTTTGAAATGCTCGTTTTCTAGAATCTGCAAGTGGACATTTGGAGGGCTTTGTGGACTGTGGTGGAAAAGGGAATATCTTCTCATAAAAACTACATAGAAGCACTCTCAGAAACGACTGTGTGATGATAGCATTCAACTCACAGAGTTGGACATTCATTCCTTTTGAGAGAGCAGTTTGGAAACACTCTTTCTGTCGAATCTGCAAGTGGAGATTTGGACCGCTTTGAGGCCTATGGTAGTAAAGGGAAGAACTTCATATGAGAACTAGACAGTAGGATTCTCAGAAAATTCTTTGTGATGATTGAGTTTAACTCACAGAGCTGAACATTCTTTTTGATGGAGCAGTTTCAAATCACACTTTTTTTAAAACGTGCAAGTGGATATTGGGACCTCTCTGAGGATTTCTTTGGAAAAAGGATAAACTTCACATAACTAAATAGAAGCATTCTCCGAAACTTCTTTGTGATGTTTGCATTCAACTCACAGGCTGAACCTTCCTTTCATAGTTCAGCTTTCAAACACTCTTTCTGTAGAATCTGCAAGTGGATATTTGCACCACTTTGTGGCCTTCCTTCGAAACGGGTATATCTTCACATCAAACCTAGACAGAAGCATTCTCAGAATGTTTCCTGTGAGGACTGCATTCAACTCACAGAGTTGAACACTCCTGTTGATGGAGCAGTTTTGAAACTGCCTTTCTTTGGAATCTGCAAGTGGATATGTGGACCTCTTTGAAGATTTCGTTGGAAACGGGTTCATCTTCACATAAAAACTAAACAGAAGCATTCTCAGAAACTACTTTGTGATGTTTGTGTTCAACTTCCAGAGTTGAACTTTCCTCTTGAAAGAGAAGCTATGAAACACTCTTTTTCTAGAATGTGCAAGTGGACATTTGGAGGGCTTTGAGGCCTGCGGTGGAAAAGGAAATATCTTCACATTAAAACTAGATAGAAGCATTCTCAGATACCACTTTGTGATGATTGCATCGGACTCACAGAGTTGGACATTCCTATGGATAGAACAGTTTGTAAACACTCTTTTTGTAGAATTTGCAATTGGAGATTTGGACGGCTTTGAGACCTACGGAAGTAAAGGAAATAACTTCACATAAAAACCAAATGGAAGCATTCACAGAAAATTCTTTGCGATGATTGTATTTAACTGAGAGAGCTGAACATTCCTTTAGATGGAGCAGTTTCCAAACACACTTTTTGTAGGATCTGCAGGTGGATATTCGGACCTCTCTGAGGATTGCGTTGGAAACGGGATAAACTTCCCAGAACTACACGGAAGCATTCTCAGAAACTTCTTTGTGATGTTTGCATACAACTCACAGAGTTGAACCTTCCTTTCATAGTTCAGCTTTGAGACAGTCTTTTGGTAGAATCTGCAGGTGGATATTTTGACCACTGTGAGGCCTTCGTTCGAAACGGGTATACCTTCACGTAAAAACTCAAGAGAAGCATTCTCAGAAACTTCTGTGTGGTGATTGCATTCAGGTCACAGAGTTGAACCCTCCATTTGATTGAGCAGTTTGGAAACTCTCTTTTTGTAGAATCTGTAAGAGGGTATGCGGACGTCTTTGAAGATTTCTTTGGAAACGGGAATATCTTCACAGAAAAACTAAACTGAAGCATTCTCGCAAACTTCTTTGTGATGTTTGTGTTCGGGTCACACAGTTTAACCTCGCTTTTCACAGAGCGGTTTTGAGACACTCCTTTTGTACAATCTGCAAGTGGACATGTGGAGCGCTTCCAGGCCTGTGGTGGAAAAGGAAACATCTTCACATAAGAACTAGAGAGAAGCATTGTCAGAAAGGTCTTTGTGATGATTGCATTCAACTCACAGAGTTGAAGATCCTGTATGAAACAGCAGTTTCAAAACACTCTTTCTGTGGGATCGGCCAGTGGATATTTGGACCTCTTCGAAGATTTCGTTGGAAATGGGATAAACTTCAGATAAAAGCTAAACCAAAGCATTCTCAGAAACTTCTTTGTGATGTTTGCATTCACCTCACAGAGTCGAACTTTCCCTCTGATACAGCACCTTTGAAACGCTCGTTTTCTAGAATCTTCAGGTGGACATTGGGAGGGCTTTGTGGACTGTGGTGTAAAAGGGAATATCTTCTCATAAAAACTACATAGAAGCACTCTCAGAAACGACTCTGTGATGATAGCATTCAACTCACAGAGTTGGACATTCATTTCTTTTGAGAGAGCAGTTTGGAAACACTCTTTCTGTCGAATCTGCAAGTGGAGATTTGGACCGCTTTGAGGCCTATGGTAGTAAAGGGAAGAACTTCATATAAGAACTAGACAGTAGCATTCTCAGAAAATTCTTTGTGACGATGGAGTTTAACTCAGAGAGCTGAACATTCGTTTTGATGGAGCAGTTTCCAAACACACTTTTGGTAGAATCTGCAAGTGTAAATTTGGACTTCCCTAAGGATTTCGTTGGAAAGGGGATAAACTTCCCAGAAGTAATCGGAGGCATTCTCCGAAACTTCTTAGTGATGTTTGCATTCAACTCACAGGGTTGAACCTTCCTTTCATAGTTCAGCGTTCAAACACTCTTTCTGCAGAATCTGCAAGTGGATATTTGCACCACTTTGTGGCCTTCCTTTGAAACGGTTATATCTTCACATCAAACCTAGACAGAAGCATTCTCAGAATGTTTCCTGTGAGGACTGCATTCAACTCACAGAGTTGAACAATCCTGTTGATGGAGCAGTTTTGAAACTCCCTTTCTTTGGAATCTGCAAGTGGATATGTGGACCTCTTTGAAGATTTCGTTGGAAACGGGTTCATCTTCATATAAAAACTAAACAGAAGCATTCTCAGAAACTACTTTGTGATGTTTGTGTTCAACTTCCGGAATTGAACTTTCCTCTGGAAAGAGCAGCTACGAAACGCTCTTTTTCTAGAATGTGCAAGTGGACATTTGGAGGGCTTTGAGGCCTGCGGTGGAAAGGGAAATATCTTCACATGAAAACTAGATAGAAGCATTCTCAGAAACCACTTTGTGATGATTGCATCGGACTCACAGAGTTGGACATTCCTATGGGTAGAACAGTTTGTAAACACTCTTTTTGTGGAATCTGCAATTGGAGATTTGGACGGCTTTGAGGCCTACGGAAGTAAAGGAAATAATTTCACATAAAAACCAAACGGAAGCATTCACAGAAAATTCTTTGCGATGATTGTATTTAACTGAGAGAGCTGAACATTCCTTTAGATGGAGCAGATTCCAAACACACTTTTTGTAGGATCTGCAGGTGGATATTCGGACCTCTCTGAGGATTGCGTTGGAAATGGGATAATCTTCCGAGAACTACAAGGAAGCATTCTCCGAAAGTTCTTTGTGATGTTTGCATGCAACTCACAGAGTTGAACCTTCCTTTCATAGTTCAGCTTTGAGACACTCTTTTGGTAGAATCTGCAGGTGGATATTTGGACCACTGTGAGGCCTTCGTTCGAAACGGGTACACCTTCACGTAAAACTCAAGAGAAGCATTCTCAGAAACTTCTGTGTGATGCTTGCATTCAGGTCACAGAGTTGAACCCTCCATTTGATTGAGCAGTTTTGAAACTGTCTTTTTGTAGAATCTGTAAGAGGATATGCGGACTTCTTTGAAGATTTCTTTGGAAACGGGAATATCTTCAAAGAAAAACTAAACTGAAGCATTCTCGCAAACTTCTTTGTGATGTTTGTGTTCGGGTCACACAGTTTAACCTCGCTTTTCACAGAGCGGTTTTGAGACACTCCTTTCGTAGAATCTGCAAGTGGACATGTGGAGCGCTTCCAGGCCTGTGGTGGAAAAGGAAACATCTTCACATAAGAACTAGAGAG
Organism: Homo sapiens; assembly: GCF_000001405.40. Classification (NCBI taxonomy): domain Eukaryota; kingdom Metazoa; phylum Chordata; class Mammalia; order Primates; family Hominidae; genus Homo; species Homo sapiens. Next base: position 54,387,875 of record NC_000011.10, read on the forward strand.
AAGCATTGTCAGAAACGTCTTTGTGATGATTGCATTCAACTCACAGAGTTGAAGATCCCGTTTGAAACAGCAGTTTCGAAACACTCTTTCTGTGGAATCGGCCAGTGGATATTTGGACCTCTTCGAAGATTTCGTTGGAAATGGGATAAACTTCACATAAAAGCTAAACCGAAGCATTCTCAGAAACTTCTTTGTGATGTTTGCATTCACCTCACAGAGTCGAACTTTCCCTCTGATACAGCACCTTTGAAATGCTCGTTTTCTAGAATCTGCAGGTGGACATTTGGAGGGATTTGTGGACTGTGGTGGAAAAGGAAATATCTTCTCATAAAAACGACATAGAAGCACTCTCAGAAACGACTCTGTGATGATAGCATTCAACTCACAGAGTTGGACATTCATTCCTTTTGAGAGAGCAGTTTGGAAACACTTTTTCTGTCGAATCTGCAAGTGGAGATTTGGACCGCTTTGAGGCCTATGGTAGTAAAGGGAAGAACTTCATATAAGAACTAGACAGTAGCATTCTCAGAAAATTCTTTGTGACGATGGAGTTTAACTCAGAGAGCTGAACATTCGTTTTGATGGAGCAGTCTCCAAACACACTTTTGGTAGAATCTGCAAGTGGAAATTTGGACTTCTCTGAGGATTTCGTTGGAAAGGGGATAAACTTCCCAGAAGTAATCGGAGGCATTCTCCGAAACTTCTTTGTGATGTTTGCATTCAACTCACAGGGTTGAACCTTCCTTTCATAGTTCAGCGTTCAAACACTCTTTCTGTAGAATCTGCAAGTGGATATTTGCACCACTTTGTGGCCTTCCTTCGAAACGGGTATATCTTCACATCAAACCTAGACAGAAGCATTCTCAGAATGTTTCCTGTGATGACTGCATTCAACTCACAGAGGTGAACAATCCTGCTGATGGAGCAGTTTTGAAACTCTCTTTCTTTGGATTCTGCAAGTGGATATGTGGACCTCTGTGAAGATTTCGTTGGAAACGGGTTCATCTTCACAGAAAAACTAAACAGGAGCATTCTCAGAAACTGCTTTGTGATGTTTGTGTTCCACTTCAAGAATTGAACTTTCCTCTTGACAGAGCAGCTCTGAAACCCTCTTTTTCTAGAATCTGCAAGTGGACATTTGGAGGGCTTTGAGGCCTGTGGTGGAAAAGGAAAATCTTCACATAAAAACTAGATGGAAGCATTCTCAGAAACCACTTTGTGATGATTGCATCGGACTCACAGAGTTGGACATTCCTATGGATAGAACAGTTTGTAAACACTCTTTTTTGTAGAATCTGCAATTGGAGATTTGGACGGCTTTGAGGCCTACGGAAGTAAAGGAAATAACTTCACATAAAAACCAAACGGAAGCATTCACAGAAAATTCTTTGCGATGATTGTATTTAACTGAGAGAGCTGAACATTCCTTTAGATGGAGCAGTTTCCAAACACACTTTTTGTAGGATCTACAGGTGGATATTCGGACCTCTCTGAGGATTGCGTTGGAAACGGGATAAACTTCCCAGAACTACACGGAAGCATTCTCCGAAACTTCTTTGTGATGTTTGCATACAACTCACAGAGTTGAACCTTCCTTTCATAGTTCAGCTTTGAGACATTCTTTTGGTAGAATCTGCAGGTGGATATTTGGACCACTGTGAGGCCTTCATTCGAAACGGGGACACCTTCACGTAAAAACTCAAGAGGAGCATTCTCAGAAACTTCTATGTGATGATTGCATTCAGGTCACAGAGTTGAACCCTCCATTTGATTGAGCAGTTTGGAAACTCTCTTTTTGTATAATCTGTAAAAGGATATGCGGACTTCTTTGAAGATTTCTTTGGAAACGGGAATATCTTTACAGAAAAACTATACTGAAGCATTCTCGCAAACTTCTTTGTGATGTTTGTGTTCGGGTCACACAGTTTAACCTCGCTTTTCACAGAGCGGTTTTGAGACACTCCTTTTGTAGAATCTGCAAGTGGACATGTGGAGCGCTTCCAGGCCTGTGGTGGAAAAGGAAACATCTTCACATAAGAACTAGAGAGAAGCATTGTCAGAAACGTCTTTGTGATGATTGCATTCAACTCACAGAGTTGAAGATCCCGTTTGAAACAGCAGTTTCGAGACACTCTTTCTGTGGGATCGGCCAGTGGATATTTGGACCTCTTCGAAGATTTCGTTGGAAATGGGATAAACTTCACATAAAAGCTAAACCGAAGCATTCTCAGAAAATTCTTTGTGATGTTTGCATTTACCACACACATTTGAACTTTCCCTCTGATACAGCACCTTTGAAACGCTCGTTTTCTAGAATCTGCAGGGGGACATTTGGAGGGCTTTGGGGATGGTGGAGGAAAAGGAAATATCTTCTCGTAAAAACTACACAGAAGCACTCTCAGAAACGACTCTGTGATGATAGCATTCAACTCACAGAGTTGGACATTCATTCCTTTTGAGAGAGCAGTTTGGAAACACTCTTTCTGTCGAATCTGCAAGTGGAGATTTGGACCGCTTTGAGTCCTATGGTAGTAAAGGGAAGAACTTCATATAAGAACTAGACAGTAGCACTCTCAGAAAACACTTTGTGACGATGGAGTTTAACTCAGAGAGCTGAACATTCGTTTTGATGGAGCAGTCTCCAAACACACTTTTGGTAGAATCTGCAAGTGGAAATTTGGACTTCTCCGAGGATTTCGTTGGAAAGGGGATAAACTTCCCAGAAGTAATCGGAAGCATTCTCCGAAACTTCTTTGTGATGTTTGCACTCAACTCACGGGGTTGAACCTTCCTTTCATAGTTCAGCTTTCAAACACTATTTCTGTAGAATCTGCAAGTGGATATTTGGACCACTTTGTGGCCTTCCTTCGAAACGGGTATATCTTCACATCAAACCTAGACAGAAGCATTCTCAGAATGTTTCCTGTGAGGACTGCATTCATCTCACAGAGTTGAACAATCCTGTTGATGGAGCAGTTTTGAAACTCCCTTTCTTTGGAATCTGCAAGTGGATATGTGGACCTCTTTGAAGATTTCGTTGGAAACGGGTTCATCTTCACATAAAAACTAAACAGAAGCATTCTCAGAAACTACTTTGTGATGTTTGTGTTCAACTTGCAGAGTTGAACTTTCCTCTTGACAGAGCAGCCATGAAACATTGCTTTTCTTGAATCTGCAAGTGGACATTTGGAGAGATTTGAGGCCTGTGGCGGAAACGTAAATATCTGCATATAAAAACTAGATAGAAGCATTCTCAGAAACTACTTTGTGATGATTGCATTCGACTCACAGAGTTGAACATTCCTATAGATAGAGCAGGTTGAAAACAATCTTTTTGTAGAATCTGCGATTGGAGATTTGGACTGCTTTGAGGCCTACTGTAGTAAAGGAAATAACTTCATCTAAAAACCAAACGGAAGCATTCACAGAAAATACTTTGCGATGATTGTATTTAACTGAGAGGGCTGAACATTCCTTTAGATGGAGCAGTTTCCAAACACACTTTTTTTAGGATCTACAGGTGGATATTCGGACCTCTCTGAGGATTGCGTTGGAAACGGGATAAACTTCCCAGAACTACAAGGAAGCATTCTCCGAAACTTCTTTGTGATGTTTGCATACAACTCACAGATTTGAAACTTCCTTTCATAGTTCATCTTTGAGACACTCTTTTGGTAGAATCTGCAGGTGGATATTTGGACCACTGTGAGGCCTTCGTTCGAAACGGGTATACCTTCACGTAAAAACTCAAGAGAAGCATTCTCAGAAACTTCTGTGTGATGATTGCATTCAGGTCACAGAGTTGAACCCTCCATTTGATTGAGCAGTTTGGAAACTCTCTTTTTGTAGAATCTGTAAGAGGATATGCGGACTACTTTGAAGATTTCTTTGGAAACGGGAATATCTTCACAGAAAAACTATACTGAAGCATTCTCACAAACTTCTTTGTGATGTTTGTGTTCGAGTCACACAGTTTAACCTTGCTTTTCACAGAGCGGTTTTGAGACACTCCTTTCGTAGAATCTGCAAGTGGACATGTGGAGCGCTTCCAGGCCTGTGGTGGAAAAGGAAACATCTTCACATAAGAACTAGAGAGAAGCATTGTCAGAAACTTCTTTGTGATGACTGCATTCAACTCACAGAGTTGAAGATTCCTTTTGAAACAGCAGTTTCGAAACACCCTTTCTGTGGGATCCGCAAGTGGATATTTGGACCTCTTTGAAGATTTCGTTGGAAATGGGGTAAACTTCACATAAAAGCTAAACCGAAGCATTCTCAGAAACTTCTTTGAGATGTTTGCATTCACCTCACAGAGACGAACATTCCCTCTGATACAGCACCTTTGAAATGCTCGTTTTCTAGAATCTGCAGGTGGACATTTGGAGGGCTTTGTGGACTGTGGTGGAAAAGGAAATATCTTCTCATAAAAACGACATAGAAGCACTCTCAGAAACGACTCTGTGATGATAGCATTCAACTCACAGAGTTGGACATTCATTCCTTTTGAGAGAGCAGTTTGGAAACACTCTTTCTGTCGAATCTGCAAGTGGAGATTTGGACCGCTTTGAGGCCTATGGTAGTAAAGGGAAGAACTTCATATAAGAACTAGACAGTAGCACTCTCAGAAAATTCTTTGTGACGATGGAGTTTAACTCAGAGAGCTGAACATTCGTTTTGATGGAGCAGTTTCCAAACACACTTTTGGTAGAATCTGCAAGTGGAAATTTGGACTTCTCTGAGGATTTCGTTGGAAAGGGGATAAACTTCCCAGAAGTAATCGGAAGCATTCTGAGAAACTTCTTTGTGATGTTTGCATTCAACTCACAGAGTTGAACCTTGCTTTCATAGTTCAGCTTTCAAACACTCTTTTTGTAGAATCTGCAAGTGGATATTTGGACCACTTTGTGGCCTTCCTTCGAAACGGGTATATCTTCACATCAAACCTAGACAGAAGCATTCTCAGAATGTTTCCTGTGAGGACTGCATTCAACTCACAGAGTTGAACAATCTTGTTGACGGAGCAGTTTTGAAACTCCCTTTCTTTGGAATCTGCATGTGGATATGTGGACCTCTTTGAAGATTTCGTTGGAAACGGGTTCATCTTCACATAAAAACTAAACAGAAGCATTCTCAGAAACTACTTTGTGATGTTTGTGTTCAACTTCCGGAATTGAACTTTCCTCTGGAAAGAGCAGCTATGAAACGCTCTTTTTCTAGAATGTGCAAGTGGACATTTGGAGGGCTTTGAGGCCTGCGGTGGAAAGGGAAATATCTTCACATGAAAACTAGATAGAAGCATTCTCAGAAACCACTTTGGGATGACTGCATCGGACTCACAGAGTTGGACATTCCTATGGATAGAACAGTTTGTAAACACTCTTTTTGTAGAATCTGCAATTGGAGATTTGGACGGCTTTGAGACCTACGGAAGTAAAGGAAATAACTTCACATAAAAACCAAACGGAAGCATTCACAGAAAATTCTTTGCGATGATTGTATTTAACTGAGAGAGCTGAACATTCCTTTAGATGGAGCAGTTTCCAAACACACTTTTTGTAGGATCTGCAGGTGGATATTCGGACCTCTGTGAGGATTGCGTTGGAAACGGGATAAACTTCCCAGAACTACACGGAAGCATTCTCCGAAACTTCTTTGTGATGTTTGCATACAACTCACAGAGTTGAACCTTCCTTTCATACTTCAGCTTTGAGACACTCTTTTGGTAGAATCTGCAGGTGGATATTTGGACCACTGTGAGGCCTTCGTTCGAAACGGGTACACCTTCACTTAAAAACTCAAGAGGAGCATTCTCAGAAACTTCTGTGTGGTGATTGCATTCAGGTCACAGAGTTGAACCCTCCATTTGATTGAGCAGTTTGGAAACTCTCTTTTTGTAGAATCTGTAAGAGGATATGCGGACTTCTTTGAAGATTTCTTTGGAAACGGGAATATCTTCACAGAAAAACTAAACTGAAGCATTCTCGCAAACTTCTTTGTGATGTTTGTGTTCGGGTCACCCAGTTTAACCTCGCTTTTCACAGAGCGGTTTTGAGACACTCCTTTCGTAGAATCTGCAAGTGGACATGTGGAGCGCTTCCAGGCCTGTGGTGGAAAAGGAAACATCTTCACATAAGAACTAGAGAGAAGCATTGTCAGAAAGGTCTTTGTGATGATTGCATTCAACTCACAGAGTTGAAGATCCTGTATGAAACAGCAGTTTCAAAACACTCTTTCTGTGGGATCGGCCAGTGGATATTTGGACCTCTTCGAAGATTTCGTTGGAAATGGGATAAACTTCACATAAAAGCTAAACCAAAGCATTCTCAGAAACTTCTTTGTGATGTTTGCATTCACCTCACAGAGTCGAACTTTCCCTCTGATACAGCACCTTTGAAACGCTCGTTTGCTAGAATCTGCAGGTGGGCATTTGGAGGGCTTTGTGGACTGTGGTGGAAAAGGGAATATCTTCTCATAAAAACTACATAGAAGCACTCTCAGAAACGACTCTGTGATGATAGCATTCAACTCAGAGATTTGGACATTCATTCTTTTTGAGAGAGCAGTTTGGAAACACTCTTTCTGTCGAATCTGCAAGTGGAGATTTGGACCGCTTTCAGGCCTATGGTAGTAAAGGGAAGAACTTCATATAAGAACTAGACAGTAGCACTCTCAGAAAATTCTTTGTGACGATGGAGTTTAACTCAGAGAGCTGAACATTCGTTTTGATGGAGCAGTTTCCAAACACACTTTTGGTAGAATTTGCAAGTGTAAATTTGGACTTCTCTAAGGATTTCGTTTTAAAGGGGATAAACTTCCCAGAAGTAATCGGAAGAGCATTCTCCGAAACTTCTTTGTGATGTTTGCATTCAACTCACAGGCTGAACCATCCTTCCATAGTTCAGCTTTCAAACACTCTTTCTGTAGAATCTGCAAGTGGATATTTGCACCACTTTGTGGCCTTCCTTCGAAACGGGTATATCTTCACATCAAACCTAGACAGAAGCATTCTCAGAATGTTTCCTGTGAGGACTGCATTCAACTCACAGAGTTGAACAATCCTGTTGATGGAGCAGTTTTGAAACTCCCTTTCTTTGGAATCTGCAAGTGGATATGTTTACCTCTTTGAAGATTTCGTTGGAAACGGGTTCATCTTCACATAAAAACTAAACAGAAGCATTCTCAGAAACTACTTTGTGATGTTTGTGTTCAACTTCCGGAATTGAACTTTCCTCTGGAAAGAGCAGCTATGAAATGCTCTTTTTCTAGAATGTGCAAGTGGACATTTGGAGGGCTTTGAGGCCTGCGGTGGAAAGGGAAATATCTTCACATGAAAACTAGATAGAAGCATTCTCAGAAACCACTTTGTGATGATTGCATCGGACTCACAGAGTTGGACATTCCTATGGATAGAACAGTTTGTAAACACTCTTTTTGTAGAATCTGCAATTGGAGATTTGGACGGCTTTGAGGCCTACGGAAGTAAAGGAAATAACTTCACATAAAAACAAACGGAAGCATTCACAGAAAATTCTTTGCGATGATTGTATTTAACTGAGAGAGCTGAACATTCCTTTAGATGGAGCAGTGTCCAAACACACTTTTTGTAGGATCTGCAGGTGGATATTCGGACCTCTCTGAGGATTGCGTTGGAAACGGGATAAACTTCCCAGAACTACACGGAAGCATGCTCCGAAACTTCTTTGTGATGTTTGCATACAACTCACAGAGTTGGACCTTCCTTTCATAGTTCAGCTTTGAGACACTCTTTTGGTAGAATCTGCAGGTGGATATTTGGACCACTGTGAGGCCTTCGTTCGAAACGGGTACACCTTCACGTAAAAACTCAAGACAAGCATTCTCAGAAACTTCTGTGTGATGATTGCATTCAGGTCACAGAGTTGAACCCTCCATTTGATTGAGCAGTTTGGAAACTCTCTTTTTGTAGAATCTGTAAGTGGATATGCGGACTTCTTTGAAGACTTCTTTGGAAACGGGAATATCTTCAAAGAAAAACTAAACTGAAGCATTCTCACAAACTTCTTTGTGATGTTTGTGTTCGAGTCACACAGTTTAACCTCGCTTTTCACAGAGCGGTTTTGAGACACTCCTTTCGTAGAATCTGCAAGTGGACATATGGAGTGCTTCCAGGCCTGTGGTGGAAAAGGAAACGTCTTCACATAAGAACTAGAGAGAAGCATTGTCAGAAACTTCTTTGTGATGATTGCATTCAACTCACAGAGTTGAAGATTCCGTTTGAAACAGCAGTTTCGAAACACTCTTTCTGTGGGATCGGCCAGTGGATATTTGGACCTCTTTGAAGATTTCGTTGGAAATGGGATAAACTTCACATAAAAGCTAAACCGAAGCATTCTCAGAAACTTCTTTGTGATGTTTGCATTCACCTCACAGAGTCGAACTTTCCCTCTGACACAGCACCTTTGAAACGCTCGTTTTCTAGAATCTGCAGGTGGACATTTGGAGCGCTTTGTGGACTGTGGTGGAAAAGGGAATATCTTCTCATAAAAACTACATAGAAGCACTCTCAGAAACGACTCTGAGATGATAGCACTCAACTGACACAGTTGGACATTCATTCCTTTTGAGAGAGCAGTTTGGAAACACTCTTTCTGTCGAATCTGCAAGTGGAGATTTGGACCGCTTTGAGGCCTATGGTAGTAAAGGGAAGAACTTCATATAAGAACTAGACAGTAGGACTCTCAGAAAATTCTTTGTGACGATTGAGTTTAACTCAGAGAGCTGAACATTCGTTTTGATGGAGCAGTTTCCAAACACACTTTTTGTAGAATCTGCAAGTGGAAATTTGGACTTCTCTGAGGATTTCGTTGGAAACGGGATAAACTTCACAGAAGTAATCGGAAGCATTCTCCAAAACTTCTTTGTGATGTTTGCATTCAACTCACAGGGTTGAATCTTCCTTTCATAGTTCAGCTTTCAAACACTCTTTCTGTAGAATCTGCAAGTGGATATTTGCACCACTTTGTGGCCTTCCTTCGAAACGGGTATATCTTCACATCAAACCTAGACAGAAGCATTCTCAGAATGTTTCCTGTGAGGACTGCATTCAACTCACAGAGTTGAAAAATCCTGTTGACGGAGCAGTTTTGAAACTCCCTTTCTTTCGAATCTGCAAGTGGATATGTGGACCTCTTTGAAGATTTCGTTGGAAACGGGTTCATCTTCACATAAAAACTAAACAGAAGCATTCTCAGAAACTACTTTGTGATGTTTGTGATCAACTTCCGGAATTGAACTTTCCTCTGGAAAGAGCAGCTATGAAACGCTCTTTTTCTAGAATGTGCAAGTGGACATTTGGAGGGCTTTGAGGCCTGCGGTGGAAAGGGAAATATCTTCACATGAAAACTAGATAGAAGCATTCTCAGAAACCACTTTGTGATGATTGCATCGGACTCACAGAGTTGGGCATTCCTATGGATAGAACAGTTTGTAAACACTCTTTTTGTAGAATCTGCAATTGGAGATTTGGACGGCTTTGAAGCCTACGGAAGTAAAGGAAATAACTTCACATAAAAACCAAACGGAAGCATTCACAGAAAATTCTTTGTGATGATTGTATTTAACTGAGAGAGCTGAACATTCCTTTAGATGGAGCAGTTTCCAAACACACTTTTTGTAGGATCTACAGGTGGATATTCGGACCTCTCTGAGGATTGCGTTGGAAACGGGATAAACTTCCCAGAACTACACGGAAGCATTCTCCGAAACTTCTTTGTGATGTTTGCATACAACTCACAGAGTTGAACCTTCCTTTCATAGTTCAGCTTTGAGACAGTCTTGTGGTAGAATCTGCAGGTGGATATTTGGACCACTGTGAGGCCTTCGTTCGAAACGGGTATACCTTCACGTAAAAACTCAAGAGAAGCATTCTCAGAAACTTCTGTGTGATGATTGCATTCAGGTCACAGAGTTCAACCCTCCATTTGATTGAGCAGTTTGGAAACTCTCTTTTTGTAGAATCTGTAAGAGGATATGCGGACTTCTTTGAAGATTTCTTTGGAAACGGGAATATCTTCACAGAAAATCTAAACTGAAGCATTCTCGCAAACTTCTTTGTGATGTTTGTGTTCGGGTCACACAGTTTAACCTCGCTTTTCACAGAGCGGTTTTGAGACACTCCTTTTGTAGAATCTGCAAGTGGACATGTGGAGCGCTTCCAGGCCTGTGGTGGAAAAGGAAACATCTTCACATAAGAACTAGAGAGAAGCATTGTCAGAAACGTCTTTGTGATGATTGCATTCAACTCACAGAGTTGAAGATCCCGTTTGAAACAGCAGTTTCGAGACACTCTTTCTGTGGGATCGGCCAGTGGATATTTGGAACTCTTCGAAGATTTCGTTGGAAATGGGATAAACTTCACATAAAAGCTAAACCGAAGCATTCTCAGAAACTTCTTTGTGATGTTTGCATTCACCTCACAGAGTCGAACTTTCCCTCTGATACAGCACCTTTGAAATGCTCGTTTGCTAGAATCTGCAGGTGGGCATTTGGAGGGCTTTGTGGACTGTGGTGGAAAAGGGAATATCTTCTCATAAAAACTACATAGAAGCACTCTCAGAAACGACTCTGTGATGATAGCATTCAACTCACAGAGTTGGACATTCATTCCTTTTGAGAGAGCAGTTTGGAAACACTCTTTCTGTCGAATCTGCAAGTGGACATTTGGACCGCTTTGAGGCCTATGGTAGTAAAGGGAAGAACTTCATATAAGAACTAGACAGTAGCACTCTCAGAAAATTCTTTGTGACGATGGAGTTTAACTCAGAGAGCTGAACATTCGTTTTCATGGAGCAGTTTCCAAACACACTTTTGGTAGAATCTGCAAGTGTAAATTTGGACTTCTCTAAGGATTTCGTTGGAAAGGGGATAAACTTCCCAGAAGTAATCGGAAGCATTCTCCGAAAATTCTTTGTGATGTTTGCATTCAACTCACGGGGTTGAACTTTCCTTTCATAGTTCAGCTTTCAAACACTCTTTCTGTAGAATCTGCAAGTGGATATTTGGACCACTTTGTGGCCTTCATTCGAAACGTGTATATCTTCACATCAAACCTAGACAGAAGCATTCTCAGAATGTTTCCTGTGAGGACTGCATTCAACTCACAGAGTTGAACAATCCTGTTGACGGAGCAGTTTTGAAACTCCCTTTCTTTGGAATCTGCATGTGGATATGTGGACCTCTTTGAAGATTTCATTGGAAACGGGTTCATCTTCATATAAAAACTAAACAGAAGCATTCTCAGAAACAACTTTGTGATGTTTGTGTTCAACTTGCAGAGTTGACCTTTCCTCTTGACAGAGCAGCTATGAAACATTGTTTTTCCAGAATCTGCAAGTGGACATTTGGAGGGTTTTGGGGCCTTTGGCGGAAACGTAAATATCTGCATATAATAACTAGATAGAAGCATTCTCAGAAACTACTTTGTGATGATTGCATCGGACTCACAGAGTTGGGCATTCCTATGGATAGGACAGTTTGTAAACACTCTTTTTGTGGAATCTGCAATTGGAGCTTTGGACTGCTTTGAAACCTACGGTAGTAAAGGAAATAACTTCATATAAAAACCAAACGGAAGCATTCACAGAAAATTCTTTGCGATGATTGTATTTAACTGAGAGAGCTGAACATTCCTTTAGATGGAGCAGTTTCCAAACACACTTTTTGTAGGATCTGCAGGTGGATATTCGGACCTCTCTGAGGATTGCGTTGGAAACGGGATAAACTTCCCAGAACTACACGGAAGCATTCTCCGAAACTTCTTTGTGATGTTTGCATACAACTCACAGAGTTGAACGTTCCTTTCATAGTTCAGCTTTGAGACAGTCTTTTGGTAGAATCTGCAGGTGGATATTTGGACCACTGTGAGGCCTTCGTTCGAAACGGGTATACCTTCACGTAAAAACTCAAGAGAAGCATTCTCAGAAACTTCTGTGTGATGATTGCATTCAGGTCACAGAGTTGAACCCTCCATTTGATTGAGCAGTTTGGAAACTCTCTTTTTGTAGAATCTGTAAGAGGATATGCGGACTTCTTTGAAGATTTCTTTGGAAACGGGAATATCTTCACAGAAAAACTAAACTGAAGCATTCTCGCAAACTTCTTTGTGATGTTTGTGTTCGGGTCACACAGTTTAACCTCGCTTTTCACAGAGCGGTTTTGAGACACTCCTTTCGTAGAATCTGCAAGTGGACATGTGGAGCGCTTCCAGGCCTGTGGTGGAAAAGGAAACATCTTCACATAAGAACTAGAGAGAAGCATTGTCAGAAACTTCTTTGTGATGATTGCATTGAACTCACAGAGTTCAAGATTCCGTTTGAAACAGCAGGTTCGAAACAGTCTTTCTGTGGGATCGGCAAGTGGATATTTGGACCTCTTTGAAGATTTCGTTGGAAATGGGATAAACTTCACATAAAAGCTAAACCGAAGCATTCTCAGAAACTTCTTCGTGATGTTTGCATTCACCTCACAGAGTCGAACTTTCCCTCTGATACAGCACCTTTGAAACGCTCGTTTTCTAGAATCTGCAGGTGGACATTTGGAGGGCTTTGTGGACTGTGGTGGAAAAGGGAATATCTTCTCATAAAAACTACATAGAAGCACTCTCAGAAACGACTCTGTGATGATAGCATTCAACTCACAGAGTTGGACATTCATTCCTTTTGAGAGAGCAGTTTGGAAACACTCTTTCTGTCGAATCTGCAAGTGGACATTTGGACCGCTTTGAGGCCTATGGTAGTAAAGGGAAGAACTTCATATAAGAACTAGACAGTAGCACTCTCAGAAAATTCTTTGTGACGATGGAGTTTAACTCAGAGAGCTGAACATTCGTTTTGATGGAGCAGTTTCCAAACACACTTTTGGTAGAATCTGCAAGTGTAAATTTGGACTTCTCTAAGGATTTCGTTGGAAAGGGGATAAACTTCCCAGAAGAAATCGGAAGCATTCTCCGAAACTTCTTTGTGATGTTTGCATTCAACTCACGGGGTTGAACCTTCCTTTCATAGTTCAGCTTTCAAACACTCTTTCTGTAGAATCTGCAAGTGGATATTTGGACCATTTTGTGGCCTTCCTTCGAAACGGGTATATCTTCACATCAAACCTAGACAGAAGCATTCTCAGAATGTTTCCTGTGAGGACTGCATTCATCTCACAGAGTTGAACAATCCTGTTGATGGAGCAGTTTTGAAACTCCCTTTCTTTGGAATCTGCAAGTGGATATGTGGACCTCTTTGAAGATTTCGTTGGAAACGGGTTCATCTTCACATAAAAACTAAACAGAAGCATTCTCAGAAAATACTTTGTGATATTTGTGTTCAACTTCCGGAATTGAACTTTCCTCTGGAAAGAGCAGCTATGAAATGCTCTTTTTCTAGAATGTGCAAGTGGACATTTGGAGGGCTTTGAGGCCTGCGGTGGAAAGGGAAATATCTTCACATGAAAACTAGATAGAAGCATTCTCAGAAACCACTTTGTGATGATTGCATCGGACTCACAGAGTTGGGCATTCCTATGGATAGAACAGTTTGTAAACACTCTTTTTGTAGAATCTGCAATTGGAGATTTGGACGGCTTTGAGGCCTACGGAAGTAAAGGAAATAACTTCACATAAAAACCAAACGGAAGCATTCACAGAAAATTCTTTGCGATGATTGTATTTAACTGAGAGAGCTGAACATTCCTTTAGATGGAGCAGTTTCCAAACACACTTTTTGTAGGATCTGCAGGTGGATATTCGGACCTCTCTGAGGATTGCATTGGAAACGGGATAAACTTCCCAGAACTACACGGAAGCATGCTCCGAAACTTCTTTGTGATGTTTGCATACAACTCACAGAGTTGAACCTTCCTTTCATAGTTCAGCTTTGAGACACTCTTTTGGTAGAATCTGCAGGTGGATATTTGGACCACTGTGAGGCCTTCGTTCGAAACGGGTACACCTTCACGTAAAAACTCAAGAGGAGCATTCTCAGAAACTTCTGTGTGGTGATTGCATTCAGGTCACAGAGTTGAACCCTCCATTTGATTGAGCAGTTTGGAAACTCTCTTTTTGTAGAATCTGTAAGAGGATATGCGGACTTCTTTGAAGATTTCTTTGGAAACGGGAATATCTTCACAGAAAAACTAAACTGAAGCATTCTCACAAACTTCTTTGTGATGTTTGTGTTCGAGTCACACAGTTTAACCTCGCTTTTCACAGAGCGGTTTTGAGACACTCCTTTCGTAGAATCTGCAAGTGGACATGTGGAGCGCTTCCAGGCCTGTGGTGGAAAAGGAAACATCTTCACATAAGAACTAGAGAGAAGTATTATCAGAAACGTCTTTGTGATGATTGCATTCAACTCACAGAGTTGAAGATTCCGTTTGAAACAGCAGTTTCGAGACACTCTTTCTGTGGGATCGGCCAGTGGATATTTGGACCTCTTCGAAGATTTTGTTGGAAATGGGATAAACTTCACATAAAAGCTAAACCGAAGCATTCTCAGAAACTTCTTTGTGATGTTTGCATTCACCTCACAGAGTCGAACTTTCCCTCTGATACAGCACCTTTGAAACGCTCGTTTTCTAGAATCTGCAGGTGGACATTGGGAGGGCTTTGTGGACTGTGGTGGAAAAGGGAATATCTTCTCATAAAAACTACATAGAAGCACTCTCAGAAACGACTCTGTGATGATAGCATTCAACTCACAGAGTTGGACATTCATTCCTTTTGAGAGAGCAGTTTGGAAACACTCTTTCTGTCGAATCTGCAAGTGGAGATTTGGACGGCTTTGAGGCCTATGGTAGTAAAGGGAAGAACTTCATATAAGAACTAGACAGTAGCACTCTCAGAAAATTCTTTGTGACGATGGAGTTTAACTCAGAGAGCTGAACATTCGTTTTGATGGAGCAGTCTCCAAACACACTTTTGGTAGAATCTGCAAGTGGAAATTTGGACTTCTCCGAGGATTTCGTTGGAAAGGGGATAAACTTCCCAGAAGTAATCGGAAGCATTCTGAGAAACTTCTTTTTGATGTTTGCATTCAACTCACAGAGTTGAACCTTGCTTTCATAGTTCAGCTTTCAAACACTCTTTTTGTAGAATCTGCAAGTGGATATTTGGACCACTTTGTGGCCTTCCTTCGAAACGGGTATATCTTCACATCAAACCTAGACAGAAGCATTCTCAGAATGTTTCCTGTGAGGACTACATTCAACTCACAGAGTTGAACAATCCTGTTGGTGGAGCAGTTTTGAAACTCCCTTTCTTTGGAATCTGCAAGTGGATATGTGGACCGTTTTGAAGTTTTCGTTGGAAACGGGTTCATCTTCACATAAAAACTAAACAGAAGCATTCTCAGAAACTATTTTGTGATGTTTGTGTTCAACTTCCGGAATTGAACTTTCCTCTGGAAAGAGCAGCTATGAAACGCTCTTTTTCTAGAATGTGCAAGTGGACATTTGGAGGGCTTTGAGGCCTGCGGTGGAAAGGGAAATATCTTCACATGAAAACTAGATAGAAGCATTCTCAGAAACCACTTTGTGATGATTGCATCGGACTCACAGATTTGGACATTCCTATGGATAGAACAGTTTGTAAACACTCTTTTTGTAGAATCTGCAATTGGAGATTTGGACGGCTTTGAGGCCTACGGAAGTAAAGGAAATAACTTCACATAAAAACCAAACGGAAGCATTCACAGAAAATTCTTTGCGATGATTGTATTTAACTGAGAGAGCTGAACATTCCGTTAGATGGAGCAGTTTCCAAAAACACTTTTTGTAGGATCTGCAGGTGGATATTCGGACCTCTCTGAGGATTGCATTGGAAACGGGATAAACTTCCCAGAACTACACGGATGCATTCTCCCAAACTTCTTGGTGATGTTTGCATACAACTCACAGAGTTGAACCTTCCTTTCGTAGTTCAGCTTTGAGACACTCTTTTTGTAGAATCTGCAGCTGGATATTTGGACCACTGTGAGGCCTTCATTCGAAAAGGGTATATCTTCACGTAACAACTCAAGAGAAGCATTCTCAGAAACTTCTGTGTGGTGATTGCATTCAGGTCACAGAGTTGAACCCTCCATTTGATTGAGCAGTTTGGAAACTCTCTTTTTGTAGAATCTGTAAGAGGATATGCGGACTTCTTTGAAGATTTCTTTGGAAACGGGAATATCTTCACAGAAAAACTAAACTGAAGCATTCTCGCAAACTTCTTTGTGATGTTTGTGTTCGGGTCACACAGTTTAACCTCGCTTTTCACAGAGCGGTTTTGAGACACTCCTTTCGTAGAATCTGCAAGTGGACATGTGGAGCGCTTCCAGGCCTGTGGTGGAAAAGGAAACATCTTCACATAAGAACTAGAGAGAAGCATTGTCAGAAACATCTTTGTGGTGATTGCATTCAACTCACAGAGTTGAAGATTCCGTTTGAAACAGCAGTTTCGAAACAGTCTTTCTGTGGGATCGGCCCGTGGATATTTGGACCTCTTCGAAGATTTCATTGGAAATGGGATAAACTTCACATAAAAGCTAAACCGAAGCATTCTCAGAAACTTCTTTGTGATGTTTGCATTCACCTCACAGTAGTCGAACTTTCCCTCTGATACAGCACCTTTGAAACGCTCGTTTTCTAGAATCTGCAGGTGGACATTTGGAGGGCTTTGTGGACTGTGGTGGAAAAGGGAATATCTTCTCATAAAAACTACATAGAAGCACTCTCAGAAACGACTCTGTGATGATAGCATTCAACTCACAGAGTTGGACATTCATTCCTTTTGAGAGAGCAGTTTGGAAACACTCTTTCTGTCGAATCTGCAAGTGGAGATTTGGACCGCTTTGAGGCCTATGGTAGTAAAGGGAAGAACTTCATATAAGAACTAGACAGTAGCACTCTCAGAAAATTCTTTGTGACGATGGAGTTTAACTCAGAGAGCTGAACATTCGTTTTGATGGAGCAGTTTCCAAACACACTTTTGGTAGAATCTGCAAGTGTAAATTTGGACTTCTCTGAGGATTTCGTTGGAAAGGGGATAAACTTCCCAGAAGTAATCGGAAGCATTCTCCGAAACTTCTTTGTGATGTTTGCATTCAACTCACAGGCTGAACCTTCGTTTCATAGTTCAGCTTTCAAACACTCTTTCTGTAGAATCTGCAAGTGGATATTTGCACCACTTTGTGGCCTTCCTTCGAAACGGGTATATCTTCACATCAAACCTAGACAGAAGCATTCTCAGAATGTTTCCTGTGAGGACTGCATTCAACTCACAGAGTTGAACAATCCTGTTGATGGAGCAGTTTTGAAACTCCCTTTCTTTGGAATCTGCAAGTGGATATGTGGACCTCTTTGAAGATTTCGTTGGAAACGGGTTCATCTTCACATAAAAACTAAACAGAAGCATTCTCAGAAACTACTTTGTGATGTTTGTGTTCAACTTCCAGAATTGAACTTTCCTCTGGAAAGAGCAGCTACGAAACGCTCTTTTTCTAGAATGTGCAAGTGGACATTTGGAGGGCTTTGAGGCCTGCGGTGGAAAGGGAAATATCTTCACATGAAAACTAGATAGAAGCATTCTCAGAAACTACTTTGTGATGATTGCATCAGACTCACAGAGTTGGGCATTCCTATGGATAGGACAGTTTGTAAACACTCTTTTTGTAGAATCTGAAATTGGAGATTTGGACTGCTTTGAGACCTACGGTAGTAAAGGAAATAACTTCATATAAACACCAAACGGAAGCATTCACAGAATATTCTTTGCAATGATTGTATTTAACTGAGAGAGCTGAACATTCCTTTAGATGGAGCAGTTTCCAAACACACTTTTTGTAGGATCTGCAGGTGGATATTCGGTCCTCTCTGAGGATTGCATTGGAAACGGGATAAACTTCCCAGAACTACACGGAAGCATTCTCCGAAACTTCTTTGTGATGTTTGCATACAACTCACAGAGTTGAACGTTCCTTTCATAGTTCAGCTTTGAGACAGTCTTTTGGTAGAATCTGCAGGTGGATATTTGGACCACTGTGAGGCCTTCGTTCGAAACGGGTATATCTTCCCGTAAAAACTCAAGAGAAGCATTCTTAGAAACTTCTGTGTGATGATTGCATTCAAGTCACAGAGTTGAACCCTCCATTTCATTGAGCAGCTTGGAAACTCTCTTTTTGTAGAATCTGTAAGAGGATATGTGGACGTCTTTGAAGATTTCTTTGGAAACGGGAATATCTTAACAGAAAAACTAAACTGAAGCATTCTCACAAACTTCTTTGTGATGTTTGTGTTCGAGTCACACAGTTTAACCTTGCTTTTCATAGAGCAGTTTTGAAACACTCCTTTCGTAGAATCTGCAACTGGACATGTGGAGCGCTTCCAGGCCTGTGGTGGAAAAGGAAACATCTTCACATAAAAACTAGACAGAAGCATTGTCAGAAACGTCTTTGTGATGATTGCATTCAACTCGCAGAGTTGAAGATTCCGTTTGAAACAGCAGTTTCGAAACACTCTTTCTGTGGGATCGGCCAGTGGATATTTGGACCTCTTTGAAGATTTCGTTGGAAATGGCATAAACTTCACATAAAAGCTAAACCGAAGCATTCTCAGAAACTTCTTGGTGATGTTTGCATTCACCTCACAGAGTCGAACTTTCTCTCTGATACAGCACCTTTGAAACGCTCGTTTTCTAGAATCTGCAGGTGGACATTTGGAGGGCTTTGTGGACTGTGGTGGAAAAGGAAATATCTTCTCATAAAAACGACATAGAAGCACTCTCAGAAACGACTCTGTGATGATAGCATTCAACTCACAGAGTTGGACATTCATTCCTTTTGAGAGAGCAGTTTGGAATCACTCTTTCTGTCGAATCTGCAAGTGGAGATTTGGACTGCTTTGAGGCCTATGGTAGTAAAGGGAAGAACTTCATATAAGAACTAGACAGTAGCACTCTCAGAAAATTCTTTGTGACGATGGAGTTTAACTCAGAGAGCTGAACATTCGTTTTGATGGAGCAGTCTCCAAACACACTTTTGGTAGAATCTGCAAGTGGAAATTTGGACTTCTCCGAGGATTTCGTTGGAAAGGGGATCAACTTCCCAGAAGTAATCGGAGGCATTCTCCGAAACTTCTTTGTGATGTTTGCATTCAACTCACAGGGTTGAACCTTCCTTTCATAGTTCAGCGTTCAAACACTCTTTCTACAGAATCTGCAAGTGGATATTTGCACCACTTTGTGGCCTTCCTTCGAAACGGGTATATCTTCACATCAAACCTAGACAGAAGCATTCTCAGAATGTTTCCTGTGAGGACTGCATTCAACTCACAGAGTTGAACAATCGTGTTGACGGAGCAGTTTTGAAACTCCCTTTCTTTGGAATCTGCAAGTGGATTTGTGGACCTCTTTGAAGATTTCGTTGGAAACGGGTTCATCTTCACATAAAAACTAAACAGAAGCATTCTCAGAAACTACTTTGTGATGTTTGTGTTCAACTTCCGGAATTGAACTTTCCTCTGGAAAGAGCAGCTATGAAACGCTCTTTTTCTAGAATGTGCAAGTGGACATTTGGAGGGCTTTGAGGCCTGCGGTGGAAAGGGAAATATCTTCACATGAAAACTAGATAGAAGCGTTCTCAGAAACCACTTTTTGATGATTGCATCGGACTCACAGAGTTGGACATTCCTATGGGTAGAACAGTTTGTAAACACTCTTTTTGTAGAATCCGCAATCGGAGATTTGGACGGCTTTGAGGCCTACGGAAGTAAAGGAAATAATTTCACATAAAAACCAAACGGAAGCAATCACAGAAAATTCTTTGCGATGATTGTATTTAACTGAGAGAGGTGAACATTCCTTTACATAGAGCAGTTTCCAAACACACTTTTTGTAGGATCTGCAGGTGGAAATTCGGACCTCTCTGAGGATTGCGTTGGAAACGGGATAAATTCCCAGAAATACACGGAAGCATGCTCCGAAACTTCTTTGTGATGTTTGCATACAACTCACAGAGTTGGACCTTCCTTTCATAGTTCAGCTTTGAGACACTCTTTTGGTAGAATCTGCAGGTGGATATTTGGACCACTGTGAGGCCTTCGTTCGAAACGGGTACACCTTCACGTAAAAACTCAAGACAAGCATTCTCAGAAACTTCTGTGTGATGATTGCATTCAGGTCACAGAGTTGAACCCTCCATTTGATTGAGCAGTTTGGAAACTCTCTTTTTGTAGAATCTGTAAGTGGATATGCGGACTTCTTTGAAGACTTCTTTGGAAACGGGAATATCTTCAAAGAAAAACTAAACTGAAGCATTCTCGCAAACTTCTTTGTGATGTTTGTGTTCGGGTCACACAGTTTAACCTCGCTTTTCACAGAGCGGTTTTGAGACACTGCTTTTGTAGTATCTGCAATTGGACATGTGGAGCGCTTCCAGGCCTGTGGTGGAAAAGGAAACATCTTCACATAAGAACTAGAGAGAAGCATTGTCAGAAACTTCTTTGTGGTGATTGCATTCAACTCACAGAGTTGAAGATTCCGTTTGAAACAGCAGTTTCGAAACAGTCTTTCTGTGGGATCGGCCCGTGGATATTTGGACCTCTTCGAAGATTTCTTTGGAAATGGGATAAACTTCACATAAAAGCTAAACCGAAGCATTCTCAGAAACTTCTTTGTGATGTTTGCATTCACCTCACAGAGTCGAACTTTCCCTCTGATACAGCACCTTTGAAACGCTCGTTTGCTAGAATCTGCAGGTGGACATTGGGAGGGCTTTGTGGACTGTGGTGGAAAAGTGAATATCTTCTCATAAAAACTACATAGAAGCACTCTCAGAAACGACTCTGTGATGATAGCATTCAACTCACAGAGTTGGACATTCATTCCTTTTGAGAGAGCAGTTTGGAAACACTCTTTCTGTCGAATCTGCAAGTGGAGATTTGGACCACTTTGAGGCCTATGGTAGTAAAGGGAAGAACTTCATATAAGAACTAGACAGTAGCACTCTCAGAAAATTCTTTGTGACGATGGAGTTTAACACAGAGAGCTGAGCATTCGTTTTGATGGAGCAGTTTCCAAACACACTTTTGGTAGAATCTGCAAGTGGAAATTTGGACTTCTCTGAGGATTTCGTTGGAAAGGGGATAAACTTCCCAGAAGTAATCGGAAGCATTCTCCGAAACTTCTTTGTGATGTTTGCATTCAACTCACAGGGTTGAACATTCCTTTCATAGTTCAGCTTTCAAACACTCTTTCTGTAGAATCTGCAAGTGGATATTTGCACCACTTTGTGGCCTTCCTTCGAAACGGGTATATCTTCACATCAAACCTAGACAGAAGCATTCTCAGAAGGTTTCCTGTGATGACTGCATTCAACTCACAGAGTTGAACAATCCTGTTGACGGAGCAGTTTTGAAGCTCCCTTTCTTTGGGATCTGCAAGTGGATATGTGGACCTCTTTGAAGAGTTCGTTGGAAACGGGTTCATCTTCACATAACAACTAAACAGGAGCATTCTCAGAAACTACTTTGTGATGTTTGTGTTCAACTTCCGGAATTGAACTTTCCTCTGGAAAGAGCAGCTATGAAACGCTCTTTTTCTAGAATGTGCAAGTGGACATTTGGAGGGCTTTGAGGCCTGCGGTGGAAAGGGAAATATCTTCACATGAAAACTAGATAGAAGAATTCTCAGAAACTACTTTGTGATGATTGCATCGGACTCACAGAGTTGGGCATTCCTATGGATAGGACAGTTTGTAAACACTCTTTTTGTATAATCTGCAATTGGAGATATGGACTGCTTTGAGACCTATGGTAGTAAAGGATATAACTTCATATAAAAACCAAACGGAAGCATTCACAGAAAATTCTTTGCGATGATTGTATTTAACTGAGAGAGCTGAACATTCCTTTAGATGGAGCAGTTTCCAAACACACTTTTTGTAGGATCTGCAGGTGGATATTCGGACCTCTCTGAGGATTGCGTTGGAAACGGGATAAACTTCCCAGAAATACACGGAAGCATTCTCCGAAACTTCTTTGTGATGTTTGCATACAACTCACAGAGTTGAACCTTCCTTTCATAGTTCAGCTTTGAGACACTCTTTTGGTAGAATCTGCAGGTGGATATTTGGACCACTGTGAGGCCTTCGTTCGAAACGGGTACACCTTCACGTAAAAACTCAAGAGGAGCATTCTCAGAAACTTCTGTGTGGTGATTGCATTCAGGTCACAGAGTTGAACCCTCCATTTGATTGAGCAGTTTGGAAACTCTCTTTTTGTAGAATCTGTAAGAGGATATGCGGACTTCTTTGAAGATTTCTTTGGAAACGGGAATATCTTCACAGAAAAACTAAACTGAAGCATTCTCGCAAACTTCTTTGTGATGTTTGTGTTCGGGTCACACAGTTTAACCTCGCTTTTCACAGAGCGGTTTTGAGACACTCCTTTCGTAGAATCTGCAAGTGGACATGTGGAGGGCTTCCAGGCCTGTGGTGGAAAAGGAAACATCTTCATATAAGAACTAGAGAGAAGCATTGTCAGAAACTTCTTTGTGTTGATTGCATTCAACTCACAGAGTTGAAGATTCCGTTTGAAACAGCAGTTTCGAAACAGTCTTTCTGTGGGATCGGCCCGTGGATATTTGGACCTCTTCGAAGATTTCGTTGGAAATGGGATAAACTTCACATAAAAGCTAAACCGAAGCATTCTCAGAAACTTCTTTGTGATGTTTGCATTCACCTCACAGAGTCGAACTTTCCCTCTGATACAGCACCTTTGAAACGCTCGTTTGCTAGAATCTGCAGGTGGACATTTGGAGGGCTTTGTGGACTGTGGTGGAAAAGGGAATATCTTCTCATAAAACCTACATAGAAGCACTCTCAGAAACGACTCTGTGATGATAGCATTCAACTCACAGAGTTGGACATTCATTCCTTTTGAGAGAGCAGTTTGGAAACACTCTTTCTGTTGAATCTACAAGTGGAGATTTGGACCGCTGTGAGGCCTATGGTAGTAAAGGGAAGAACTTCATATAAGAACTAGACAGTAGCACTCTCAGAAAATTCTTTGTGACGATGGAGTTTAACTCAGAGAGCTGAACATTCGTTTTGATGGAGCAGTCTCCAAACACACTTTTGGTAGAATCTGTAAGTGGAAATTTGGACTTCTCCGAGGATTTCGTTGGAAAGGGGATACAATCTTCCCAGAAGTAATCGGAAGCATTCTCCGAAACTTCTTTGTGATGTTTGCATTCAACTCACAGGCTGAACCATCCTTCCATAGTTCAGCTTTCAAACACTCTTTCTGTAGAATCTGCAAGTGGATATTTGCACCACTTTGTGGTCTTCCTTCGAAACGGGTATATCTTCACATCAAACCTAGACAGAAGCATTCTCAGAATGTTTCCTGTGAGGACTGCATTCATCTCACAGAGTTGAACAATCCTGTTGATGGAGCAGTTTTGAAACTCCCTTTCTTTGGAATCTGCAAGTGGATATGTGGACCTCTTTGAAGATTTCGTTGGAAACGGGTTCATCTTCACATAAAAACTAAACAGAAGCATTCTCAGAAACTCCTTTGTGATGTTTGTGTTCCACTTCAAGAATTGAACTTTCCTCTTGACAGAGCTGCTCTGAAACTCCCTTTTTCTAGAATCTGCAAGTGGACATTTGGAGGGCTTTGAGGCCTGTGGTGGAAAAGGAAACATCTTCACATAAAACCTAGATAGAAGCATTCTCAGAAACCACTTTGGGATGACTGCATCGGACTCACAGAGTTGGACATTCCTATGGATAGAACAGTTTGTAAACACTCTTTTTGTAGAATCTGCAATTGGAGATTTGGACGGCTTTGAGGCCTACGGAAGTAAAGGAAATAACTTCACATAAAAACCAAATGGAAGCATTCACAGAAAATTCTTTGCGATGATTGTATTTAACTGAGAGAGCTGAACATTCCTTTAGATGGAGCAGTTTCCAAACACACTTTTTGTAGGATCTGCAGGTGGATATTCGGACCTCTCTGAGGATTGCGTTGGAAACGGGATAAACTTCCCAGAACTACACGGAAGCATTCTCCGAAACTTCTTTGTGATGTTTGCATACAACTCACAGAGTTGAACCTTCCTTTCATAGTTCAGCTTTGAGACACTCTTTTGGTAGATTCTGCAGGTGGATATTTGGACCACTGTGAGGCCTTCGTTCGAAACGGGGACACCTTCACGTAAAAACTCAAGAGGAGCATTGTCAGAAACTTCTGTGTGATGATTGCATTCAGGTCACAGAGTTGAACCCTCCATTTGATTGAGCAGTTTGGAAACTCTCTTTTTGTAGAATCTGTAAGAGGATATGCGGACTTCTTTGAAGATTTCTTTGAAAACGGGAATATCTTCACAGAAAAACTAAACTGAAGCATTCTCGCAAACTTCTTTGTGATGTTTGTGTTCGGGTCACACAGTTTAACCTCGCTTTTCACAGAGCGGTTTTGAGACACTCCTTTCGTAGAATCTGCAAGTGGACATGTGGAGGGCTTCCAGGCTTGTGGTGGAAAAGGAAACATCTTCATATAAGAACTAGAGAGAAGCATTGTCAGAAACTTCTTTGTGATGATTGCATTCAACTCGCAGAGTTGAAGATTCCGTTTGAAACAGCAGTTTCGAAACACTCTTTCTGTGGGATCGGCCAGTGGATATTTGGACCTCTTTGAAGATTTCGTTGGAAATGGCATAAACTTCACATAAAAGCTAAACCGAAGCATTCTCAGAAACTTCTTTGTGATGTTTGCATTCACCTCACAGAGTCGAACTTTCCCTCTGATACAGCACCTTTGAAACGCTCGTTTTCTAGAATCTGCAGGTGGACATTTGGAGGGCTTTGTGGACTGTGGTGGAAAAGGGAATATCTTCTCATAAAAACTACATAGAAGCACTCTCAGAAACGACTCTGTGATGATAGCATTCAACTCACAGAGTTGGACATTCATTCCTTTTGAGAGAGCAGTTTGGAAACACTCTTTCTGTTGAATCTGCAAGTGGAGATTTGGACCGCTGTGAGGCCTATGGTAGTAACGGGAAGAACTTCATATAAGAACTAGACAGTAGCACTCTCAGAAAATTCTTTGTGACGATGGAGTTTAACTCAGAGAGCTGAACATTCGTTTTGATAGAGCAGTCTCCAAACACACTTTTGGTAGAATCTGCAAGTGGAAATTTGGACTTCTCCGAGGATTTCGTTGGAAAGGGGATAAACTTCCCAGAAGTAATCGGAAGCATTCTCCGAAACTTCTTTGTGATGTTTGCATTCAACTCACAGGCTGAACCATCCTTCCAAGTTCAGCTTTCAAACACTCTTTCTGTAGAATCTGCAAGTGGATATTTGCACCACTTTGTGGCCTTCCTTCGAAACGGGTATATCTTCACATCAAACCTAGACAGAAGCATTCTCAGAATGTTTCCTGTGAGGACTGCATTCAACTCACAGAGTTGAACAATCCTGTTGACGGAGCAGTTTCGAAACTCCCTTTCTTTGGAATCTGCAAGTGGATATGTGGACCTCTTTGAAGATTTCGTTGGAAACGGGTTCATCTTCACATAAAAACTAAACAGAAGCATTCTCAGAAACTACTTTGTGATGTTTGTGATCAACTTCCGGAATTGAAATTTCCTCTGGAAAGAGCAGCTATGAAACGCTCTTTTTCTAGAATGTGCAAGTGGACATTTGGAGGGCTTTGAGGCCTGCGGTGGAAAGGGAAATATCTTCACATGAAAACTAGATAGAAGCATTCTCAGAAACCACTTTGTGATGATTGCATCGGACTCACAGGGTTGGACATTCCTATGGATAGAACAGTTTGTAAACACTCTTTTTGTAGAATCTGCAATTGGAGATTTGGATGGCTTTGAGACCTACGGAAGTAAAGGAAATAACTTCACATAAAAACCAAACTGAAGCATTCACAGAAAATTCTTTGCGATGATTGTATTTAACTGAGAGAGCTGAACATTCCTTTAGATGGAGCAGTTTCCAAACACACTTTTTGTAGGATCTGCAGGTGGATATTCGGACCTCTCTGAGGATTGCATTGGAAACGGGATAAACTTCCCAGAACTACACGGAAGCATTCTCCGAAATTTCTTTGTGATGTTTGCATACAACTCACAGAGTTGAACATTCCTTTCATAGTTCAGCTTTGAGACAGTCTTTTGGTAGAATCTGCAGGTGGATATTTGGACCACTGTGAAGCCTTCGTTCGAAACGGTTATACCTTCACGTAAAAACTCAAGAGAAGCATTCTCAGAAACTTCTATGTGATGATTGCATTCAGGTCACAGAGTTGAACCCTCCATTTGATTGAGCAGTTTGGAAACTCTCTTTTTGTAGAATCTGTAAAAGGATATGCGGACTTCTTTGAAGATTTCTTTGGAAACGGGAATATCTTCACAGAAAAACTAAACTGAAGCATTCTCACAAACTTCTTTGTGATGTTTGTGTTCGAGTCACACAGTTTAACCTCGCTTTTCACAGAGCGGTTTTGAGACCCTCCTTTCGTAGAATCTGCAAGTGGACATGTGGAGCGCTTCCAGGACTGTGGTGGAAAAGGAAACATCTTCACATAAGAACTAGAGAGAAGTATTGTCAGAAACTTCTTTGTGATGATTGCATTCAACTCACAGAGTTGAAGATTCCGTTTGAAACAGCAGTTTCGAAACACTCTTTCTGTGGGATCGGCCCGTGGATATTTGGACCTCTTCGAAGATTTCGTTGGAAATGGGATAAACTTCACATAAAAGCTAAACCGAAGCATTCTCAGAAACTTCTTTGTGATGTTTGCATTCACCTCACAGAGTCGAACTTTCCCTCTGATACAGCACTTTGAAATGCTCGTTTTCTAGAATCTGAAGGTGGACATTTGGAGGGCTTTGTGGACTGTGGTGGAAAAGGGAATATCTTCTCATAAAAACTACATAGAAGCACTCTCAGAAACGACTCTGTGATGATAGCATTCAACTCACAGAGTTGGACATTCATTCCTTTTGAGAGAGCAGTTTGGAAACACTCTTTCTGTCGAATCTGCAAGTGGACATTTGGACCGCTTTGAGGCCTATGGTAGTAAAGGGAAGAACTTCATATAAGAACTAGACAGTAGCACTCTCAGAAAATTCTTTGTGACGATGGAGTTTAACTCAGAGAGCTGAACATTCGTTTTGATGGAGCAGTTTCCAAACACACTTTCTGTAGAATCTGCAAGTGTAAATTTGGACTTCTCTGAGGATTTCGTTGGAAAGGGGATAAACTTCCCAGAAGTAATCGGAGGCATTCTCCGAAACTTCTTTGTGATGTTTGCATTCAACTCACAGGGTTGAACCTTCCTTTCATAGTTCAGCGTTCAAACACTCTTTCTGCAGAATCTGCAAGTGGATATTTGCACCACTTTGTGGCCTTCCTTCGAAACGGGTATATCTTCACATCAAACCTAGACAGAAGCATTCTCAGAATGTTTCCTGTGAGGACTGCATTCAACTCACAGAGTTGAACAATCCTGTTGACGGAGCAGTTTTGAAACTCCCTTTCTTTGGAATCTGCAAGTGGATATGTGGACCTCTTTGAAGATTTCGTTGGAAACGGGTTCATCTTCACATAAAAACTAAACAGAAGCATTCTCAGAAACTACTTTGTGATGTTTGTGTCCAACTTCCGGAATTGAACTTTCCTCTGGAAAGAGCAGCTATGAAACGCTCTTTTTCTAGAATGTGCAAGTGGACATTTGGAGGGCTTTGAGGCCTGCGGTGGAAAGGGAAATATCTTCACATGAAAACTAGATAGAAGCATTCTCATAAACTACTTTGTGATGACTGCATTCTACTCACAGAGTTGAACATTCCTATTGATAGAGCACTTTGGAAACACTCTTTTTGTAGAATCTGCAAGTGGAGATTTGGACAGCCTTGAAGCCTATGGTAGTAAAGGAAATAACTTCATATAAAAACTAGACAGAAGCATTCACAGAAAATTCTTTGCGATGATTGTATTTAACTGAGAGAGCTGAACATTCCTTTAGATGGAGCAGTTTCCAAAAACACTTTTTGTAGGATCTGCAGGTGGATATTCGGACCTCTCTGAGGATTGCATTGGAAACGGGATAAACTTCCCAGAACTACACGGAAGCATTCTCCGAAACTTCTTTGTGATGTTTGCATACAACTCACAGAGTTGAACCTTCCTTTCATAGTTCAGCTTTGAGACAGTCTTTTGGTAGAATCTGCAGGTGGATATTTGGACCACTGTGAGGCCTTCGTTCGAAACGGGTATACCTTCACGTAAAAACTCAAGAGAAGCATTCTCAGAAACTTCTGTGTGATGATTGCATTCAGGTCACAGAGTTGAACCCTCCATTTGATTGAGCAGTTTGGAAACTCTCTTTTTGTAGAATCTGTAAGAGGATATGCGGACTTCTTTGAAGATTTCTTTGGAAACGGGAATATCTTCACAGAAAAACTAAACTGAAGCATTCTCACAAACTTCTTTGTGATGTTTGTGTTCGAGTCACACAGTTTAACATTGCTTCTCATAGAGCAGTTTTGAAACACTCCTTTCGTAGAATCTGCAATTGGACATGTGGAGCGCTTCCAGGCCTGTGGTGGAAAAGGAAACATCTTCACATAAAAACTAGACAGAAGCATTGTCAGAAACGTCTTTGTGATGATTGCATTCAACTCACAGAGTTGAAGATCCCGTTTGAAACAGCAGTTTCGAAACACTCTTTCTGTGGGATCGGCCAGTGGATATTTGGACCTCTTCGAAGATTTCGTTGGAAATGGGATAAACTTCACATAAAAGCTAAACCGAAGCATTCTCAGAAACTTCTTTGTGATGTTTGCATTCACCTCACAGAGTCGAACATTCCCTCTGATACAGCACCTTTGAAATGCTCGTTTGCTAGAATCTGCAGGTGGACATTGGGAGGGCTTTGTGGACTGTGGTGGAAAAGGGAATATCTTCTCATAAAAACTACATAGAAGCACTCTCAGAAACGACTCTGTGATGATAGCATTCAACTCACAGAGTTGAGCATTCCTTTTGAGAGAGCAGTTTGGAAACACTCTTTCTGCAGAATCTGCAAGTGGAGATTTGGACCGCTTTGAGGCCTATGGTAGTAAAGGAAAGAACTTCATATAAGAACTAGACAGGAGCACTCTCAGAAAATTCTTTGTGACGATGGAGTTTAACTCAGAGAGCTGAACATTCGTTTTGATGGAGCAGTTTCCAAACACACTTTCTGTAGAATCTGTAAGTGTAAATTTGGACTTCTCTGAGGATTTTGTTGGAAAGGGGATAAACTTCCCAGAAGTAATCGGAAGCATTCTCCGAAATATCTTTGTGATGTTTGCATTCAACTCACAGGGTTGAACATTCCTTTCATAGTTCAGCTTTCAAACACTCTTTCTGTAGAATCTGCAAGTGGATATTTGCACCACTTTGTGGCCTTCCTTCGAAACGGGTATATCTTCACATCAAACCTAGACAGAAGCATTCTCAGAATGTTTCCTGTGATGACTGCATTCAACTCACAGAGGTGAACAATCCTGTTGATGGAGCAGTTTCGAAACTCTCTTTCTTTGTAATCTGCAAGTGGATATGTGGACCTCTTTGAAGTTTTCGTTGGAAACGGGTTCATCTTCACATAAAAACTAAACAGAAGCATTCTCAGAAACTACTTTGTGATGTTTGTGTTCAACTTCCGGAATTGAACTTTCCTCTGGAAAGAGCAGCTATGAAACGCTCTTTTTCTAGAATGTGCAAGTGGACATTTGGAGGGCTTTGAGGCCTGCGGTGGAAAGGGAAATATCTTCACATGAAAACTAGATAGAAGCATTCTCAGAAACCACTTGGGGATGACTGCATCGGACTCACAGAGTTCGACATTCCTATGGATAGAACAGTTTGTAAACACTCTTTTTGTAGAATCTGCAATTGGAGATTTGGACGGCTTTGAGACCTACGGAAGTAAAGGAAATAACTTCACATAAAAACCAAACGGAAGCATTCACAGAAAATTCTTTGCGATGATTGTATTTAACTGAGAGAGCTGAACATTCCTTTAGATGGAGCAGTTTCCAAACACACTTTTTGTAGGATCTGCAGGTGGATATTCGGACCTCTCTGAGGATTGCGTTGGAAACGGGATAAACTTCCCAGAACTACACGGAAGCATTCTCCGAAACTTCTTTGTGATGTTTGCATACAACTCACAGAGTTGAACCTTCCTTTCATAGTTCAGCTTTGAGACAGTCTTTTGGTAGAATCTGCAGGTGGATATTTGGACCACTGTGAGGCCTTCGTTCGAAACGGGTACACCTTCACGTAAAAACTCAAGAGGAGCATTCTCAGAAACTTCTGTGTGATGATTGCATTCAGGTCACAGAGTTGAACCCTCCATTTGATTGAGCAGTTTGGAAACTCTCTTTTTGTAGAATCTGTAAGAGGATATGCGGACTTCTTTGAAGATTCCTTTGGAAACGGGAATATCTTCACAGAAAAACTAAACTGAAGCATTCTCACAAACTTCTTTGTGATGTTTGTGTTCGAGTCACACAGTTTAACCTCGCTTTTCACAGAGCGGTTTTGAGACACTCCTTTCGTAGAATCTGCAAGTGGACATGTGGAGCGCTTCCAGGCCTGTGGTGGAAAAGGAAACATCTTCATATAAGAACTAGAGAGAAGCATTGTCAGAAACTTCTTTGTGGTGATTGCATTCAACTCACAGAGTTGAAGATTCCGTTTGAAACAGCAGTTTCGAAACAGTCTTTCTGTGGGATCGGCCCGTGGATATTTGGACCTCTTCGAAGATTTCGTTGGAAATGGGATAAACTTCACATAAAAGCTAAACCGAAGCATTCTCAGAAACTTCTTGGTGATGTTTGCATTCACCTCACAGAGTCGAACTTTCCCTCTGATACAGCACCTTTGAAACGCTCGTTTTCTAGAATCTGCAGGTGGACATTTGGAGGGCTTTGTGGACTGTGGTGGAAAAGGAAATATCTTCTCATAAAAACGACATAGAAGCACTCTCAGAAACGACTCTGTGATGATAGCATTCAACTCACAGAGTTGGACATTCATTCCTTTTGAGAGAGCAGTTTGGAAACACTCTTTCTGTCGAATCTGCAAGTGGAGATTTGGACCGCTTTGAGGCCTATGGTAGTAAAGGGAAGAACTTCATATAAGAACTAGACAGTAGCACTCTCAGAAAATTCTTTGTGACGATGGAGTTTAACTCAGAGAGCTGAACATTCGTTTTGATGGAGCAGTTTCCAAACACACTTTTGGTAGAATCTGCAAGTGTAAATTTTGACTTCTCTGAGGATTTCGTTGGAAAGGGGATAAACTTCCCAGAAGTAATCGGAAGCATTCTCCGAAATTTCTTTGTGATGTTTGCATTCAACTCACAGGGTTGAACATTCCTTTCATAGTTCAGCTTTCAAACACTCTTTCTGTAGAATCTGCAAGTGGATATTTGCACCACTTTGTGGCCTTCCTTCGAAACGGGTATATCTTCACATCAAACCTAGACAGAAGCATTCTCAGAATGTTTCCTGTGAGGACTGCATTCAACTCACAGAGTTGAACAATCCTGTTGATGGAGCAGTTTTGAAACTCCCTTTCTTTGGAATCTGCAAGTGGATATGTGGACCTCTTTGAAGATTTCGTTGGAAACGGGTTCATCTTCACATAAAAACTAAACAGAAGCATTCTCAGAAACTACTTTGTGATGTTTGTGTTCAACTTCCAGAGTTGAACTTTCCTCTTGAAAGAGCAGCTATGAAACACTCTTTTTCTAGAATGTGCAAGTGGACATTTGGAGGGCTCTGAGGCCTGCGGTGGAAAGGGAAATATCTTCACATAAAAACTAGATAGAAGCATTCTCAGAAACCACTTTTTGATGATTGCATCGGACTCACAGAGTTGGACATTCCTATGGATAGAACAGTTTGTAAACACTCTTTTTGTAGAATCTGCAATTGGAGATTTGGACGGCTTTGAGGCCTACGGAAGTAAAGGAAATAACTTCACATAAAAAACAAATGGAAGCATTCACAGAAAATTCTTTGTGATGATTGTATTTAACTGAGAGAGCTGAACATTCCTTTTAGACGGAGCAGTTTCCAAACACACTTTTTGTAGGATCTGCAAGTGGATATTCGGACCTCTCTGAGGATTGCGTTGGAAACGGGATAAACTTCCCAGAACTACACGGAAGCATTCTCCGAAACTTCTTTGTGACGTTTGCATACAACTCACAGAGTTGAACCTTCCTTTCATAGTTCAGCTTTGAGACACTCTTTTGGTAGAATCTGCAGGTGGATATTTGGACCACTGTGAGGCCTTCGTTCGAAACGGGTACACCTTCACGTAAAAACTCAAGAGGAGCATTCTCAGAAACTTCTGTGTGGTGATTGCATTCAGGTCACAGAGTTGAACCCTCCATTTGATTGAGCAGTTTGGAAACTCTCTTTTTGTAGAATCTGTAAGAGGATATGCGGACTTCTTTGAAGATTTCTTTGGAAACGGGAATATCTTCACAGAAAAACTAAACTGAAGCATTCTCGCAAACTCCTTTGTGATGTTTGTGTTCGGGTCACCCAGTTTAACCTCGCTTTTCACAGAGCGGTTTTGAGACACTCCTTTCGTAGAATCTGCAAGTGGACATGTGGAGCGCTTCCAGGCCTGTGGTGGAAAAGGAAACATCTTCACATAAGAACTAGAGAGAAGCATTGTCAGAAACGTCTTTGTGATGATTGCATTCAACTCACAGAGTTGAAGATCCCGTTTGAAACAGCAGTTTCAAAACACTCTTTCTGTGGGATCGGCCAGTGGATATTTGGACCTCTTCGAAGATTTCGTTGGAAATGGGATAAACTTCACATAAAAGTTAAACCGAAGCATTCTCAGAAACTTTTTCGTGATGTTTGCATTCACCTCACAGAGTCGAACTTTCCCTCTGATACAGCACCTTTGAAACGCTCGTTTTCTAGAATCTGCAGGTGGACATTTGGAGGGCTTTGTGGACTGTGGTGGAAAAGGGAATATCTTCTCATAAAAACTACATAGAAGCACTCTCAGAAACGACTCTGTGATGATAGCATTCAACTCACAGAGTTGGACATTCATTCCTTTTGAGAGAGCAGTTTGGAAACACTCTTTCTGTCGAATCTGCAAGTGGAGATTTGGACCGCTTTGAGGCCTATGGTAGTAATGGGAAGAACTTCATATAAGAACAAGACAGTAGCACTCTCAGAAAATTCTTTGTGACGATAGAGTTTAACTCAGAGAGCTGAACATTCATTTTGATGGAGCAGTCTCCAAACACACTTTTGGTAGAATCTGCAAGTGGAAATTTGGACTTCTCAGAGGATTTCGTTGGAAAGGGGATAAACTTCCCAGAAGTAATCGGTGGCATTCTCCGAAACTTCTTTGTGATGTTTGCATTCAACTCACAGGGTTGAACTTTACTTTCATAGTTCAGCGTTCAAACACTCTTTCTGTAGAATCTACAAGTGGATATTTGCACCACTTTGTGGCCTTCCTTCGAAACGGGTATATCTTCACATCAAACCTAGACAGAAGCATTCTCAGAATGTTTCCTGTGAGGACTGCATTCAACTCACAGAGTTGAACAATCCTGTTGACGGAGCAGTTTTGAAACTCCCTTTCTTTGGAATCTGCAAGTGGATATGTGGACCTCTTTGAAGATTTCGTTGGAAACGGGTTCATCTTCACATAAAAACTAAACAGAAGCATTCTCAGAAACTACTTTGTGATGTTTGTGTTCAACTTCCGGAATTGAACTTTCCTCTGAAAAGAGCAGCTATGAAACGCCCTTTTTCTAGAATGTGCAAGTGGACATTTGGAGGGCTTTGAGGCCTGCGGTGGAAAGGGAAATACCTTCACATGAAAACTAGATAGAAGCATTCTCAGAAACCACTTTGTGATGATTGCATCGGACTCACAGAGTTGGACATTCCTATGGATAGAACAGTTTGTAAACACTCTTTTTGTAGAATCTGCAATTGG
Source organism: Homo sapiens (assembly GCF_000001405.40). Lineage (NCBI taxonomy): Eukaryota > Metazoa > Chordata > Mammalia > Primates > Hominidae > Homo > Homo sapiens. Next base: position 54,421,942 of record NC_000011.10, read on the forward strand.
AGATTTGGACGGCTTTGAGGCCTACGGAAGTAAAGGAAATAACTTCACATAAAAACCAAACGGAAGCATTCACAGAAAATTCTTTGCGATGATTGTATTTAACTGACAGAGCTGAACATTCCTTTAGATGGAGCAGTTTCCAAACACACTTTTTGTAGGATCTGCAGGTGGATATTCGGACCTCTCTGAGGATTGCGTTGGAAACGGGATAAACTTCCCAGAAATACACGGAAGCATTCTCCGAAACTTCTTTGTGATGTTTGCATACAACTCACAGAGTTGAACCTTCCTTTCATAGTTCAGCTTTGAGACACTCTTTTGGTAGAATCTGCAGGTGGACATTTGGACCACTGTGAGGCCTTCGTTCGAAACGGGGACACCTTCACGTAAAAACTCAAGAGGAGCATTCTCAGAAACTTCTGTGTGATGATTGCATTCAGGTCACAGAGTTGAACCCTCCATTTGATTGAGCAGTTTGGAAACTCTCTTTTTGTAGAATCTGTAAGAGGATATGCGGACTTCTTTGAAGATTTCTTTGGAAACGGGAATATCTTCACAGAAAAACTAAACTGAAGCATTCTCGCAAACTTCTTTGTGATGTTTGTGTTCGGGTCACACAGTTTAACCTCGCTTTTCACAGAGCGGTTTTGAGACACTCCTTTCGTAGAATCTGCAAGTGGACATGTGGAGCGCTTCCAGGCCTGTGGTGGAAAAGGAAACATCTTCACATAAGAACTAGAGAGAAGCATTGACAGAAACGTCTTTGTGATGATTGCATTCAACTCACAGAGTTGAAGATCCCGTTTGAAACAGCAGTTTCGAAACACTCTTTCTGTGGGATCGGCCAGTGGATATTTGGACCTCTTCGAAGATTTCGTTGGAAATGGGATAAACTTCACATAAAAGCTAAACCGAAGCATTCTCAGAAACTTCTTTGTGATGTTTGCATTCACCTCACAGAGTCGAACTTTCCCTCTGATACAGCACCTTTAAAATGCTCGTTTTCTAGAATCTGCAGGTGGACATTGGGAGGGCTTTGTGGACTGTGGTGGAAAAGGGAATATCTTCTCATAAAAACTACATAGAAGCACTCTCAGAAACGACTCTGTGATGATAGCATTCAACTCACAGAGTTGGACATTCATTCCTTTTGAGAGAGCAGTTTGGAAACACTCTTTCTGTCGAATCTGCAAGTGGAGATTTGGACCGCTTTGAGGCCTATGGTAGTAAAGGGAAGAACTTCATATAAGAACTAGACAGTAGCACTCTCAGAAAATTCTTTGTGACGATTGAGTTTAACTCAGAGAGCTGAACATTCGTTTTGATGGAGCAGTTTCCAAACACACTTTTTGTAGAATGTGCAAGTGGAAATTTGGACTTCTCTGAGCATTTCGTTGGAAACGGGATAAACTTCCCACAAGTAATCGGAAGCATTCTCCGAAATTTCTTTGTGATGTTTGCATTCAACTCACAGGCTGAACCTTCCTTTCATAGTTCAGCTTTCAAACACTCTTTCTGTAGAATCTGCAAGTGGATATTTGCACCACTTTGTGGCCTTCCTTCGAAACGGGTATATCTTCACATCAAACCTAGACAGAAGAATTCTCAGAATGTTTCCTGTGATGACTCCATTCAACGCACAGAGGTGAACAATCCTGTTGATGGAGCAGTTTTGAAACTCTCTTTCTTTGGAATCTGCAAGTGGATATGTGGACTTCTATGAAGATTTCGTTGGAAACGGGTTCATCTTCACCGAAAAACTAAACAGAAGCATTCTCAGAAACTACTTTGTGATGTTTGTGTTCAACTTCCGGAATTGAACTTTCCTCTGGAAAGAGCAGCTACAAAACGCTCTTTTTCTAGAATGTGCAAGTGGACATTTGGAGGGCTTTGAGGCCTGTGGTTGAAAGGGAAATATCTTCACATGAAAACTAGATAGAAGCATTCTGAGAAACCACTTTTTGATGATTGCATCGGACTCACAGAGTTGGACATTCCTATGGGTAGAACAGTTTGTAAACACTCTTTTTGTAGAATCTGCAATTGGAGATTTGGACGGCTTTTATGCCAACGGAAGTAAAGGAAATAACTTCACATAAAAACCAAACGGAAGCATTCACAGAAAATTCTTTGTGATGATCGTATTTAACTGAGAGAGCTGAACATTCCTTTAGATGGAGCAGTTTCCAAACACACTTTTGGTAGGATCTGCAAGTGGATATTCGGACCTCTCTGAGGATTTCGTTGGAAAGGGGATACACTTCCCAGAACTACACAGAAGCATTCTCCGAAATTTCTTTGTGATGTTTGCATACAACTCACAGAGTTGAACCTTCCTTTCATAGTTCAGCTTTGAGACACTCTTTTGGTAGAATCTGCAGGTGGATATTTGGACCACTGTGAGGCCTTCGTTCGAAACGGGTACACCTTCACGTAAAAACTCAAGAGAAGCATTCTCAGAAACTTCTGTGTGGTGATTGCATTCAGGTCACAGAGTTGAACCCTCCATTTGATTGAGCAGTTTGGAAACTCTCTTTTTGTAGAATCTGTAAGAGGATATGCGGACTTCTTTGAAGATTTCTTTGGAAACGGGAATATCTTCACAGAAAAACTAAACTGAAGCATTCTCGCAAACTTCTTTGTGATGTTTGTGTTCGGGTCACCCAGTTTAACCTCGCTTTTCACAGAGCGGTTTTGAGACACTCCTTTCGTAGAATCTGCAAGTGGACATGTGGAGCGCTTCCAGGCCTGTGGTGGAAAAGGAAACATCTTCACATAAGAACTAGAGAGAAGTATTTTCAGAAACGTCTTTGTGATGATTGCATTCAACTCACAGAGTTGAAGATTCCGTTTGAAACAGCAGTTTCGAAACACTCTTTCTGTGGGATCGGCCAGTGGATATTTGGACCTCTTCGAAGATTTCGTTGGAAATGGGATAAACTTCACATAAAAGCTAAACCGAAGCATTCTCAGAAACTTCTTTGTGATGTTTGCATTCACCTCACAGAGTCGAACATTCCCTCTGATACAGCACCTTTGAAACGCTCGTTTTCTAGAATCTGCAGGTGGACATTTGGAGGGCTTTGTGGACTGTGGTGGAAAAGGAAATATCTTCTCATAAAAACGACATAGA